>NC_000002.12:154459314-154762345 GCF_000001405.40 Homo sapiens | reverse complement strand
AACTCTTCACACTATGACAACGTTTGTTATTTGATACATAATATTAAAGGCACTTTTTTATTATTACGTTGAATCCCATCAGAGCCTTGTAAAACAATTTCATTACAAGGTATATTTGTTTCCTATTATTGCTGTAAAAAAATTGCCACAAACTTAATGGCTTAAATCAACACACATTAATTACCTTACTATCTGGAGATCAGAAGTATAACACCAAGGCATTGAGAGGGCTGTGTTCCTGCTGGAGGCTCCAAGGGAGCGTTCATTCCTTGTCTATTCCAGCCTCTGGAGGTTACCCACATTCCTTGACTACTGGCCCCATTAATCTATTCTCTACTTCCATCATTATATCCTCTTCTCAGACTTTTTTTTTATAAGGACTCTGTGATGTCACTGGGTACACCTGGATAACCTAGGTATGATACTTAACATAACCACATCTGCAAAGTCTCTTTTGCCATGTAAGGTAATATATTCACAAGTTCTGAGGATTACGACCTGGACATCTTTAAGGAGTCATTTTTCTGCTTATTACAAAAGGTAAATTTTAAAAAGCAAGTACCCTAACTAATTACATTTTACATAATTCTCACAGGCTCTGATATAGCCATTTCCAGAAGTTAAAAAAGGGATTCACATATAATGGTAAAAATTAAATTATTCCCTTTAAAGTACAAAATGGAATAAAGTCAAAAAATCCTATCTATCTCATTCAACATGTATGTGTCTCCTAGAAAGCATAATAAAATAAGATGTAATTAAAAAACACATTAGGATGTAGAGACCCAAAATTATGAAGTTGATAGTTCTCCTAAATAAATCTAAAAGTGCAATTAAATTCTAATCAGCATCACAGTAAGCCTTTTTCTAGAGCTTGATAGAGCTGATCCTAAAATTACACAAGAGATCAAATGACAAAAATAACGACAGGGGCATATGCCCACAAGATATCATGACTTATCTTACAATTGCAATAATTAAATTAGTAGGGATTGATATAGGCATAGATATACATATCACTGAGGAAGTTAAAACGTAAAAACAAATGGCAATATAAACAAACTTGTGAAGGTAGACTTGGCACTACAGTTTGATGGAGAAAATATGCTCTACTTCTTCTGTTAAAGTCAACTATCCATATTAAAACAAAAAAAAAGATGAAGTTAAATCATACCTCATATAATACTGATAAATGAATTCTAAAGGATTACAGACCAAAAAGTAAAAGGCTAGACTGGGCAACATAGTGAGATCCTGTCTCTACAACAAAAAAAAAAAAAAAAGAAAAAATTAAAAAAAAATTTAAGGGGGCCGGTCACGGTGGCTCACACCTGTAATCCCAGCACTTTGGGAGGCCAAGGCGGGTGGATCATGAGGTCAGGAGATTGAGACCATCCTGGCTAACACGCTGAAACCCCATATGTACTACAAAATAGAAAAAATTAGCTGGGTGTGGTGGCGGGCACCTGTAGTCCCAGCTACTCGGGAGGCTGAGGCAGGAGAATGGCATGAACCCGGGAGGCGGAACTTGCAGTGAGCAGAGATCGCACCACTGCACTCCAGCCTGGGTGACAGAGCAAGACTCCATCTCAAAAAAAAAAAAAAAAAAAGAAAAAAAAGAAAAAAATAGCCAGGGTGTTGGCATGAGCCTGTAATCCTAGCTACTTGGGAGGCTGAAGTGAAAGGATCAGTTCAGCCCAGGAGGTTGAGGCTACACCAGACCACGATTATACCACTACAATCCAGGCTGGGTGGCAGAATGAGATTCCGTCAAGAAAGAGAGAGAGAGAGAAAGAGAGAAGTGAAAAGCAAAACTTCACAACATTTGGAAAAATTGAATTTGCTCAAAGTAATTAAGATCCCTTAAAATAAAACCAACTAAATTTAAAGGAAGAGACCAATAAATTTAATAATAAACTGAAGGGTACTATACAACAAAAACTCCTACATAAATATTTAAAGCCCAAAACTTAGAGAAAACAGTCATAACACACATATCTCATAAAAGTTTACGTCAGAAAAATGACTATCTCCTACAAGTCAGTAAATAATAGATAATTCAGAAGATAATCAAATGAGTAATAATTATATGAAAAAAGGTTAAACTTTACTAGGATCAGAAAAATGTAAATTAAAACAATGGCAGTGTAACATTTCACAGTAATACAGCTGGCCCAAAATTTTAAAGATTTAATAACACCAGGTGCTGGTTAGGATGTGTTAGTTACAGAGTTCATGAATAGCTGGTAAGAGTATAACTGGAGTAATCACTTAGCAGAGCAATTTGGCAGTGTGTTACAGTATTTAGAAAATCTGTTGATGTATATTCCCTACCACTCAGTACTTCTTTAAATAGTTCTGTAGACTTGTAAAACCTTGTCTTATCTAAAGAAACATCTAAAATGATACAGATTTCAGTGACGCTGGTTAATATGTAAAATTAGAAACAAATGATCTATTAATAAAATGCTGATTATTGAACACTCTTTCATAACATGCAAGACTATCCAGTGGTTCAAATACATGAACAAAATTTTATTTTTTGAAAAATACAATGAAGTTAAAGAAACAAATTGCAAATGACACAATTTACCTGCATTTTAAAAGTAGAACAATCAATATTCATTTTCATGGGCTTATATAAATATGATTAAAGTAAAAATCAATACATGGATTTGAATTTCCTTGGGAGAAGTAAGAAGTGGAAAGAAAAAGGTGCTTTGGTCTTAGTGATTATGTATACAGATATGTATCTCTATCTATCTATATATATCTATAGATAGATATTTTTTAAAAGAAAAAAACAAATATTTCAAGCAATACAAAACAAATATTTCAAAATATAAACAACTATTACATCTGGATGCTATATACACAAAGATTTACTCTTACCTATATGTTTGAAATATATTTTACCAATGAAATTAAGTTGAATTTAATACCACGATGAAGGTCCTTTAGGTATATTGCAAAAAAAAAAAAGTTGTAAAAATAAGACTTCTAAAACCATTATCAATATCAAAAAATCCTTCTGGTGCATTGGAGAGTCCTTCTCAGTCCAAACACAAGATCAAAGTATTAGTTCAACTACACACACAAAAATAATAAGAACAAAATTCAGTGTCCCGGCACTAGCAGTTGTTGCACTGTTCACTTTCAATTCTACACAATCCTGTGCTTTCATAGCCATGAGACTTGCTCTGTGTTGGCTACAGATATGAACATTATAAATGGGCATTTAATAGAAGGATTAGAAGTACCATCTGTTCCTGAGTCAGCATAAACAGAGAATTTCCACCAACCATTTTATTTCTTTGCTTATGAAACTTGTTTTTCTGTTTTTAGAGGCCTCTAGGGCAAATCCAAGACTCCAATCAACAGCCTGAGAAGCAAACTTGAAATAACTAAACATAATGCCCTGAAGAAAAAGCTTAAAAAAGAGCTGTCAAGACAAATACTTTAGAACACCCTTTTCCTTAAAAGTGGGTTCTCAACTGGTTCAACTGTCCTCTTTCATATTCAGTTTAATGTTTAATCCAGTATGGAGATCAGCATTTGATTCAAGTCACAATTTTTTCAAGTCAACAAAAGAAGCTTTCTCCCTTAACACACGTCACCTGATTTGCAAGACTGCAATTTCTCCAGAGACAGCCAGTATTAGAACACAAGTGTATTTTATTGGGGATCCATGGGGTTTCCCATCTGTGGATTCAACCAACTAGGGATTGAAAATACTCAGAAACAAAATGGATAGTCATGACTCTACTGAACATGTAAGGACATTTTTTCTAGTCATTGTTTTCTAAACAATATAGTATAGCAGATATTTATATAGCATTTACATTGTGTTAGGTACTGTAAGTGGTCTAGAGATGAATTTAAAGTATATAGGAGGATGTGCACAGGTTATATGCAAATACTACATAATTTTATATCAGAAACTTCAGCACCCACATATTTGGTACCTGAGGGAGGTCCTCATAGCAATCCCTTACAGATACCAAGGAACAACTGTACTATGTTGTATGTTTGTCTTTAATTTTTATTCAATTGCATTTAATGTACCACTTCTCTAGAAATCAACAAGTATAAATTCTAAACAATGCTACTGACCAAGTGCCATACTAGCCATAAGAAAAACAATCCTTACTCTGAAATTCTGAGATTCCCCACCAAAAGCCCTACAAATGCACTCAGCTTAAACATAGGAAACAAGTATCAAGACGTTCTCTATTGTTAAGAAATTTTAAAATGCCTGAAATAAAGGAACCTTATCTAGTAGAAATTATGTCCAATAAATTTGAAATGCTGAGTACTTCTCAAATACTAAGCATATAATTTTTTAAGTGCCATCTGCTATGATATAAATATTCATGTCCTCCCCAAATTCATATATTAAAACACAATACTCAATTTGATTGTATTAGGAGGTGGGGTCTTTGAGAAGTGATTAAGCCATGAGGGCTCTACCCTCATGAATGGGATTAGTACCCTTATAAAAGAGGTTCCAGGGAGCTCCCTTGCTCCTTTCCACCATGTGAGGACACAGCAACAATGCACCACCACTGAAGTGGAGAGGGAGTCCTCACCAGATATCAGATCTGCTGGTGTTTTGATCTTGGATTTCCCAGCCTCTAGAACTGTGAGAAATAAATGTCTATTATTTATAAATTACATAGCCTAAAGTATTTTGTTATAGCAGCCTGAACAGTTTAAGACACCATCAAAATCAGAGATTGAAAACAAATTTACAAAATAAAGTGAAGTATTACATCTACATCCTTTTTTCTAATTCTTACTACATAATAAGATCTCGTGGAGAAAAAAATCAACAAAATATGCAATATATAGAATGGGGAGATATGGAGAGAAATTTATAGAGGGAGAAAAGGGCACAGAATTAATTTAGTTGAGTAAAAATTGTATTTTATGCTCCTATTCCTCCTTTTGATACTCTAGAAGCACTAGTTCTGATAAGGGAACAGCTTGACCCAGCCTTTGCAATACTAAACTTTCTTCCCAAAAATATTTACCTCACTTATTTTACTGCCCTACTGCTCACAGATAGAAAACCAGCAGCTTTCCTTAGTTGCTCATCTTGAAAAAAGCCACCCCACCTTCCCAAAACACAAAACAAGGATGGAAAGGGCATTCTGTTGAATTCAAATGTCTTGACTTATATTCTTGATTTATAATATTTTATCTACTCATATATGTCCTGTTCCACTTTGAAAAATCCATGTTGCTGTGGAAAATATATATATATAATACTTTGACATTTAAAAATACTTTTTAAATTCATTTTTTATTTCTAGTGAATTGTGAAGTTATCCTATTTTATACATTTTTCTTGGAAGAATATAGGAATTTACAGATGAGTTCAATTTTTCCAAGATTATATAGTTTCCAAGAGTGTATTTCAGTCAAAATCCTCTCACATATATCTTATGCTCTTTCTACAGTACAAATGTCTTAGGTGTCAAATTTGTAAATTTGCTTTTTTTCTAAATATTAAATTAAACTGAAAACAAAGGGCTTTGCTCTATTATATGACACAAAATTTTTATTTTATTTTATTTATTTTTATTATACTTTAAGTTCCGGGGTACATGTGCAGGACGTGCAGGTCTGTTACATAGGTATACACGTGCCATGGTGGTTTGCTGCACCCATCAACCTGTCGTCTGCATTAGGTATTTCTCCTAATGCTATCCAGAAAACCAAACACCACAAGTTCTCACTAATAAGTGGGAGTTGAACAATGAGAACACATGGACACAGGGAGGGGAACATCACACATCAGGGCCTGTCAGGGGGTGGGGGTCTAGGGGAGGGATAGCATTAAGGATAACATTAGGACACAACACTTTTAATGAAAATGGCACTATGAAAATATTACTCATAGCACCAGTTACATAAAATCTAACATTATATATCTATCTGATATTCACTAAATTACCAAACATGAGTCACAATTAGGCTGGAGGATATCAGAGCATAAGTACATAATACAGTGTTGTTTTGAAAAATAAAATACCAAGTGTAAAGTATTTTAGCTAGAACCTTGTCTATAAGAAATAATATATATGACAATTGCTACTACCATTATCATTATTATTTATCTAGATAGGTAATGGTTAACTCTAGTTGATACTGGTATCAAGTTCTGTAGTTTATTCAAAATGAAGACTGTAAGACGGATGGATCAAATATCAATAATAAAAAGTATGTAATAAGTATGCTGCTTACATAAAGATCTAAACCCGTCTGGATATCTAGGAACCACAATATAAAGGTGCTGAAGACTGAAAGTAAAAAAGGTCTGCCCCAAAGTGACATCTTTAGGGGTAGATGATGTGCAAGAAAAATGGCATATTTAAAATGTAACAGAAATTGTTTTAACATCTTCGAGACAGTTTTATCTCTATTAACTATCCCTATTTCACACATGAAAAAACTCAAGGAAACTTGTATTAAGTAACAATATCAGAAAGCTAGTACAAGACAGAACCAAATCTAAATTTCCCACCCTATCACACTAGTCTTTAGATGGAATTATTTGTTACATTTTCTACATTCCTTTTGTATAACTTCATTTCTAAGCAAACTTAAAAAGCAATAAAGAACATATTAGTTTGCATTCGATTTCAAGCAAAGAAGAAAAACAGATTTGTAAAAACAATGTGAATAAGAACCTTAGTACAAAGTATTTATGCCCTCGTAGATTTTATGAACATAAAATGCTGACCATGGTCAGAAATAATCTAGTATGCTGGAATAAAAAGCAAAATTACTTGAATTTGAGTACCTCCTATGGCTACATTTATTTACAGGTATCCTTAACCTTTTTTATGGCATGCATTCCTTAGGCAGAATAATGTTTGCAAATGCCTAATATCAGATTTTGTAAAACATTAAAATATTTGAAAATTTAGCAACAAAGCTCTAAATACACATGACAAAACTTATCCAAATGAAAACCAGAGAATACTCATATTTTGAATTTAATAAAAAAGACTCATTAATGTAAGCTTACATCTCAAGAAGCTAAACAAATACGGTTAATCAATCTCAAGAAGTAGAAGAAAGAACAAAAGAATGGTAATAGAATAAATTAATGGCAAATATGCCAGACATACAATGGAGAAATTCAAAATTTTATTCTCTGAAAAACTTTAAAAATGTGGAAAACTCTCTAGCAATGCTGATGGGAAGAAAAAGGTTAAAAATACACATTTCCAATTACAGTAATGAAAAGAGAGGTATCACTACAGATCTTGAAAATATTATAAAAATAATACAAAGGTATCACAGACAACTTTACAATAATAAATTTGATGACTTAGAATAAATAGACAAATTTCTTGGAAATATAACTGACCAAAACCAACACAAGAAAAAGTAGAAAATCTTAATAGTGTTATATCTGATTTAAAAATTATATTTGCAATTAAAACCTGCTACTTTAAAACTCCAACCACAGATAACTTCACAAGCAAATTTTATCAAATATTTAAAGCAGAAATAATATCAATCTTATGCATTCTTAAAAATGGAGAAAAATTTTACCAACTAGTTTTATAAGGCCTGTATAACCTCATGAGAAACTTCACAAGGACATTATATATAACTTCCACTGAAAAAAATCCTGTAAGCTAATATCTCAAAAATAGACATGTAAGCCCTAAGTAAAATAGTTCCAACTCAAATTCACCAAGATATAAAAAGGATATTATGCCATATATTGAAGTATTATTAAAGAAATGTTTACAGCCGGGTGCGGTGGCTCATGCCTGTAATCCCAACACTTTGGGAGGCCAAGGCGGGTGGATTGCCGGAGGTCGGGAGTTTGAGACCAGCCTGGCCAACACAGTGAAACCCCATCTCTACTAAAAATACAAAAAATTAGCTGGGCGTGGTGGCACATGCCTGGAATCCCAGCTACTCGGGAGGCTGAGGCAGGAGAATCGCTTGAACCCAGGAGGCAGAGGTTGGCTGCAGTGAGCCGAGATCGCACCATTTCACTCCAGCCTGGGCAACAACAGAGAAACTCCGTTTCAAAAAAAGAAAAAAAGAAATGTTCACATAAGGTTTATTGAAGGAGTGCTAGGTTAATTAAATATTCAAACATCAATGTTATTTATCACATTAATGTCATAAAAAGACCATTCAATAGATTGAGAAATAGTATTTGCTAATGGTTAGTATTTATTCATGATACAAAACGGGAATAGATGGGAACTTTGTAAATCTTGGCAATTGTCCTGTAAATCCAAAACTATTCTAAAGTAAAAAGGTTATTAAAAAATAGTGGTGGAAAACTGGCAAAAATCAAGTAAGATTCATAGTAAAAAATTATGGAGTCAATGCTAATTTTCTGTTTTTGATAATTGTACTATGGTTCTGAAAGGCAGTAACATTAAAAGCGAGGTTAAGTGTAAGTGGGAACTCTGCTAATTACATAACTTTTCTGTAGAATTATTTCAAAATAATATGTTTTCTAAAAAAAGGATAAGACAAATTTCTTGAATAAATGAACAAATCTATGTATTAAACAACAGAAGCAAATGTATAATTATTTGAATGTCTTCTGAATGATGTTTAAAATCTATCACTTATAAATGCCACAGTCAGCCCTTCCCAACACCTGCATTACCTTCTAGAAGGCTTTTCCATTTCCATTCTTTCAGAGTTGTCAAATACACATTTTTAAATGTAATTTTAAAACCATGATTAAAAACAATCCATGTAGCTATAAGAAACCAAAATATTCAGGATCCGAAATCGTAACATAAAACACAGTAAGCATGAGAAAAGGTAATTCCACTGAAAATTGAAACTTGAGTGAAGGACTGGTATTTATACTTCAGTGCTAAAATCTGGAAAAAACTCCACAATTAATGTGATTTCTTACAATCTTGAACGTGCATAAAGGCAACAATAAATAAAGAAATAACAAAGGAAATACAGACATTTTTCCTAACGTTAGTATCAACAAAATTTTAATAAGCCAACACGCCATGCTGCTTCTAAATGGCTTTCAATCAGAATGTTTCTATTAATAAACATTACTATGATCCATTTCTGTGGTAGTATAATTGGTCTAACCTGTATTGAAAGTAACAGGGGAGTGTCATATCACTGGCCTTTGACTTTATAATTATAGTTTTAGCAATCCGTTACAATGAAATATTTTAATCACTGAAAAAGTCTTGCTACGAAAACAATGGTCATTGCATTATACATCATTAGAGAAAAATTCTTATCCGATAAGAGAGAATTAGAGGCTTCAACTGAGGTCAATAATGCTAACCAAATAGGATTGCTGTCTTAGAACAATAACTGATACCTAAAGATTGATCAATATAATTTTTATTAACAGTGTCACATACTGATTGGTTATATATTTTTAATGTTTTAGACATAATTGTTTTGTTTCACGTAATTGTTTTGTTATTGTTTCTCTTCATGTTTTTACAATACAGAAATTTTAATCTGCATCAAGTCATATCATGAATAACTTCCTTTACTTATAGTGTTCTATATGTTTATGTAGCTTAACAGAATTTCAAGCTAACTAACACTTTGTCATACTGGCACAATTATTGTCCCCAATTTATAGTTGGGGATATCAAGGATAGAGAAGTATGAACACTCACATAGAATCTTACAAATTGTAAATATTTGAGAAATTTTTGGACATAGCAAATAATGTGCACTTGAAAATTTACAAATAGGAAAACTTAGTGATTAGCTATTACTGGGATCATCATAGAAAGTTTCATAATATTTCCGATTTTTATAGTTAATAATGTACCATATAAATAATTTTTAGTAAATTACTAGCTTATAGAGTTTTGTTTTAACCAAAACATATATCTCTCAATTTCATCAAGTTTTTAAAATCCTTCTTTAAAGCTCCATACATTTCATTTTGTCTATCTTTCACATTCTTTCTTAGATATATTCATCTGTATTTTGTAGTTTATATGGTAGTTTATGTTGTTATTATGAATGGATTTGATTTTTTTCCATCACATTTCCTAGTTGACTATTGCTATTGCAAAGGAAAACTACTATTTTTTTTGTTGTATTACTTTTATTATGACAATAGCACTTTCTAAAGAAAAACAATCTCAGTTTGAGTACACCAAAATGTTTATATATTCAAGAATATATTTTTCAGCACTTAAGATAACATCCAGCTATTTTATTTGTATGGAAATGTATAAAAGGAAATTACTTTGTAATGAAAATAAAGGAAGTTACATTGCCTTTAATGAGTAAAAAGTAATTTTAATTGGTGTTATGGTGTGAATTGTGTCCTTCCAAAATTCATGTGTTAAAACTCTAACCCCCAATTCCTCAGAATGTGACTGTATTGGCAAAGGAGTCTTTAAAGAGGTGGTACTGCAGTTAAAATGAAGTAATTAGGGTGCCCTAATCCAATATGACTGTT
Organism: Homo sapiens; assembly: GCF_000001405.40. Taxonomy (NCBI): domain Eukaryota; kingdom Metazoa; phylum Chordata; class Mammalia; order Primates; family Hominidae; genus Homo; species Homo sapiens. The sequence continues at coordinate 154,751,886 of NC_000002.12, read as the reverse complement.
GTCTTTATAAAAAGAGAAGATTAGGTTGCACACAAACACAGAAGGAAAAGTATGTGAAGACACTTGGAGAAGAGTCCATCAATAAGCCAAGCAGAGGCCTCAGAAGAAATCAGCCCTACTGACTCCTTGATCTTGGGCTTCAAGCCTCCAGAAGTGTCAAAAAACAAATTTCTATTTCTTAAGCCACCTTGTTCGGTACTTTATTAAGACAGCCCTAACAAACTACTATAATAGAAATAAATAAAACCTTTCTTTCTAGAGGATATAATTATTTAATTGTATTACATATTATGAGAGACTGCTTTAACCTTTCAGCCTTTTAGGTGAAATGTAATAAATACACAGAAAGGCACACATAATAAAAATGGATACGTGAATGGATGCAGATCATATAGGACATATCCTGTGTCTATAAAGCAACTAAACTAGATATTAATAATAAAGCTGAATTTGAAATGTCACATACTTGGCAAATTATGAAATAAAGTACTAAATATCCTGGTTCAAAAATGAAATAAAAATTAGAAATTATTTTGATATGTAATGAAATACTATATTATTCAAATTTATGAGATATAGCTAAAGCTTTCCTTAGAGAGAAATTTGCAACTTAGAAGAAAATGTATAGCATATATTAAAAACATAGGCCAAAAGTCAATAAGCTAAACTTCCATTTCAAATAATTAGAAAAATATCAGTAAAATAAATTCATCTACCTTATGATTTTTAATTTTTTTATTTCCATAGGTTTTTGGGGAATAGGTGGTATTTGGTTACATGAGTAAGTTCTTTAGGGGTAATTTGTGAGATTTTGGTGCACCCATCACCCGAGAAGTATACACCGAACCTGATTTGTAGTCTTTTATCCCTCACCCTTAAGTTATTATTATAAAGCAATATAGATAACGAAGTGTTTTGCTATTACAATGATAATATGCAAAACTCAGTTTTTCCAAATCACAAATACAAATTTTCAGTTTTTCTGGAGAAAAATAATTATCTACCACCAAGGAAAAAAGTGAAACATACTTATTTTTGACTAGAAAATATAAATAATGAGAATTTTCACTGTTATTTGAGGCTCAAAACTTACACCTTTGTTCATTTTGGTCTATACAAGGAAGAGTTGCAATGAAAACAAAATGGCAAAAGTTGCTGGTTAATCACAAATCCACAAGGACAAATCCAAGCCATAGATTAAATTAGTTCTGGACGGTGAAAAAATTGTATGAAAGGCACAAGCAGCTACGATAATAAATCAATACTGTAAGGTTTTTATTGTTGTTGCTTATGTATTTTTCTATTTGTTTATGCTAGCCTGATAGCAATAAAATTATGCTGTTCAGAAGCTATCTCATAAATAATATAATTTCAAGATAAGAATTTATAGAAGTTATAGAAATAGAATTCTAATCAGTTTTGGAATAAGTTACCGTTGCATTAGGGAACAACATAACTTGTTAAATGTTTAAAAGTTCCATAATTTATATATATTAGTTGTGTCTAAAATTTCTTCAGTACAGATATTTTAATTATATTAGCAACAATTAGTAGCATAATACTATTACAAATTAGCAAAGTTTATAACCTAACCCTATAGATACTGAAACTAAAATGAAGTCTTTGTCAGTTAATCACTTAATTAATTATAGCTGTATAATATAATTGTGTACAAATAAAACATAAGGAAGCTCTTATTTCATTTATATGTTGCACATAATAGTCATAATCTATTCTTTAATATTGTTCAATAGGAGAAATATGAGAAAAAATATAACTTCTGGAAATGCAACACCTTAATAAGAGGACATACTTGCTTTATTGCTATTCACTAGGCTTTCTTCTACAAGACATTTACAATAAACTACTATTTTAGGCATGATTTTCAGTTTTGAGTCCATACAAAGGTAAATTAATAAGCATTTATTTCGGTGGTTATGGTCACTAATCAGCTAGTTTGGAGATAGGGAGATTGTTATGAATTATTCAGGTGGGTCCCATCTAATCACATGAGTCCTTACACACAGAGGAAGAGACAGAAAGGATGTCAGAGAGCCAAGACATGAGGAAAACTTGACTTCCATGGCTGTCTTCAAAGATGGAGGAAAGGGGCCAAGAAAAAAGAAAAGAAAAAGAAAAAATTTACATATATGCACTCACTACGACTCCCTCAGTAATAATCTGTTCCCACTTTACAGATAAGGGAAAATGAGTGTGAGGAAATTTATGTTACTTTGGCAAGGTCATAAAACTATGTGATCGAACCAGAAGCCAAACACATTTTAAAATAAAGGAAAGCGCAAAATGCATGATCTTGCAGTACAGCCCTCTGACATGGGCTACATATTCACAGAGTTCAAAATTTCAAGTTATGCCTATGCAAAATTATCACAATCACATGCAAGAAAAAAATCTTTTGCTCATTTGCCCACAACATGCCTGCTAAATGTTGAGTTGGACAGAGAACTAGATTACCATCCTAAGGACTGGCAAACTGACTACCTGCAGGAACCATAACGAAGCAGATCTGCTAAAACTTTTGAGCATATCCTACTTTTCCACAGACATGTAGATGAGCCTGCTATAAATACACATATCTCAGAAAGCTTTAATTAATTTTGAGGGGGGTCTCTTGGTATCATCTAAATGCATTTGAAAGGTCGCTTACTTGTCAATGAATCTATTACTTAGTGTTCAGTGGCTAAATTTCTAAATGATAATTTATAACAAATTAATGGCTTCTATAAGAACACCTTCACTTCTGCATAGGCTCAGTTCACTCCACCACTGCCCATTCCAAACAAAAACAAAAGTAATGATTCTCAGTACACAGCAGATCTGGTAACTTTTAAAAATTAAATGGGAATAATATCTGCTGATGTTGGAGAATAAAAATATTGGTAGTTCTCCATTGCAATAAGTCAGGTCAGCTGAAACTTGCAAAGTGCCTTGCAAGCCACTTCATTTTTCACTGTGAAGTGAGGGAAAAGTCATGTAACTGACAGATAACTGTTAATATGTCCGTATCAGTAGTACATTTACCAAATGTCTGATCTCCAAAGATTAGACAAGTGAAACGATTTGTGTTTTCTAGTATGTTGATCTGTCTTCTCACTGACAGCTCTACTTAAAAGAAACATTTGAATTTTATCACTCTTTCTTGAGGATGTAAGTCATTACTTACTCTATTTTCATAATACAACTCAATGAAGAAAAGCATAGGTTTCTAAGTAATCTGTCAATTGATGTATGACTGATAGTGTTCAGTTCACTCATATTTATTTTAAACTAGATATCTTACAATTGGATGAGTTTGGTTCCAAGGCACAGGACGAAGGGCACTGGGCATCCCAGAAATGTCATGTAGAATTGCTTCCTCACTTGCTCTCACTAGATGACATCACACTCCATAGCAGTTTGAAAGGAAAACCTAGTTTTTAACAGAAACTCCACACATAATTTTCTACTTTTCGTTTATTAAAGGGAACAAGGAAGGAGCACTATCGTACCTTCAATATGCCCATGTATTTTTATTTTTTTGCAAGTTTTATTTGAAAGGCCACTATATCCCTAGCACATGAAAGAGAGAAGGAAATAAATCAAGTGATTTTAAGTTAACTTTAAAATGAAAGTCACATTTCTTTTATAAAAAGAGTGTTATTTAGTCAGTTTATTTAGGTATGAATTTGTTCCATGAATGGCATTCAAGTGAAAGAAAAGTCATTTCATAACTTTTCAAAAAATTAAAAATAATCTAATATGGTTTATTTCTTCTTGTCACACAGGGTTGACAGAAAATTTTAAACTAGTCATGCATTATATTTTGGGATGGGAGATGGAGGCAGGGGGCCTCAACAATCTCTAGGGTTCTAGGGTTTTATTAGATTCCCAAAGCGGCATACTTTATCCAGAAAACTTGAGGAAGAACATTGGGTTTGGTAAGAACTGGTCAGGATGCTTCCTGACCAAGCCCATGCAGTTGACCAAAAATTGACTATTTTTCTGCCTTGGCCACTGGAATCTTCCACCTTATTTCCCCAAACCAAGGTCCCTGGTATTCAGCTCCCAGGAGCCATACATCACCTATCAAACAACAGGCCTTTATCTGGGTTTCTATAAGTTTTAGGCTGAAGGTTTTTCCACTTCCAAACCTACAACTCTAATTTCATTTCTCTTGGGAAATTAACTCCATGCAGGGCTATTTGTCTTTTTCAAATTAAAGCAATAACCTCTCCTTTCTCTATTCTGGAATAGGAATGAAATCACAAAGCCGTTTACTTATAATGGAGATGGGGGTAAGATAAGGAGAGCTCAGACTTGTAAAAACATTAAGGCTATTCCCCACCCCTGCCTACCTGGAAAGGGAGAGAATACAGATTAGTATCACTCTTCCTTAATGGGTCCACACTAACAAAAAAATCCTGGGCACTAGTTTTTTTCTTAAAAATATACTTTGTTATATAAGTTTTATAAATATGTATATAAGCAAAAAGTTTAAAAATGAAGTAGAATGTTAATTAAACCTTTTCAATTTCCCCCTCAAAAACCCTTTAATCTTATCTCTTACAACTCTTCTACTTTACAAATAATTCTACAAGAATTAGGGACCATAGCCCCAAACATACTGACATACGAGTAAAAGGAGTAATTGTTAATAGCTTAAAGGGTGTATGTTTTATGACAAGTATAATACTGACTTCCTTAGAGAGGCAAATTATAAACTATTATCTATAGTCACTAAGTAAGAAATGAACTGAAAATAATTCACTTCTTAGTAACTATAAAACACAACTCTCAAGTGCTTTATACAACTAAAATGTACTGTAAGTTTGAGATGTGCTACCTGTTGTACAAAAGTAATGGGACTTCCCTGTTCTTTCAACAGCAACAGTAAGAAGTAGTTTTCCTGTTTGAAGTTCTTGCTGTCATTTTACAAGAGGCAGACTAGATATTATTGGTAAGATTCAAGCAATGAGCTATTATTGCTAATTTAGATAATAACATTGTCCATATTATTATGATGTAATGACATAGTGAATATATTTCACAAATCATTTTCCAGGAAGTTATAGAAAGAAAACCTCCAAGTAGAAGAGTTTGGTGCCTATTAATTTCCAATGTAGTTTTAAAAAGACTTTATGAATTTTCTTGTGCTCCCTGTGATTCTTTTTCCAAATAAATTTCAAAATTGAAATATCTTGAAATATTTGAAAACACACACACACACACACACACATATATATACACATATATACATATATATATATATATATATATCTGTGTATACGCACACACACATACAGTTGACCCTCCATATAGACAAGTTCTGCATACATGGATTCAACCAACCTCAGATAGAAAATATTTGTAAAAATAACAGTACAATAATAAAAATAACATAAATAAAAATCAATATAGTATAACACCTATTTACATTGCCTTTATTTTATACTAGGTATTATAAGTAATCTAGAGATGATTTAAAGTATATAGGAGGATGTACATAGGTTATACAGTTCACCCTTAAACAATGTGGGGGCTAGGGGTGCCAACTTACCATGCAGGCACAAGTTTACATACAACTTTTGACTTTCCAAAACTTAACCACTCTACCATTGACCGGAAACCTTATCAATAACTTTAACAGTCAATTAACAAATATTTTAATGTTATATGTTTATATATTGAATTATTATAATAAAGTAATCTGGAGAAAGGAAAATATTATTAAAAAACCATCACGAGGAAGAGAAAATCTATTTACTATTCATTAAGTAGAAGTGGGTCATCATAAAGGTATTCATTCTTGTCATGTTCAAGTTGAATAAGCTGAGAAAGGAGAGGAAGAGGAGGAGTTGGTCTTGATGTCTCAGGGGTCGCTACCTGGGGAACAGTAGTGTGGCATTTCTACACCTCCCAGACAGGGAATGGAGACCTAGCAGGAGGCCAGTACTCAACCCCTGCCTAGCAGTAAGAAAGCTAGGATATCAATGACGGCTGAGTGGGAATCTGAACTTCTATCTACAACTGGCAGTTACAATGTGGTACTTCACCTTTCTCTGTTCAAGTAGTATGAAAGGAAGCCAGCTAAACCAGAAAATTTAGATAAGATCAAGTTTCAATTAATGTCCAGGTTTCAACTGAAAATCTCTAGTTATTCCAAGAACCATGAAGATAAATGTTAAAGACAATCAATAGATGGCCAAATGAAGATGCCAAAAGTGTGAGACTTCTCTGGAAAAAAATTTTAAAGCAGACATTCTAAAAATGCTTTAATGAGCAATTGTAATCACATTTGAAAACAATGGCAAAATAGTGGCAACAAAGAAATGCAAAATATAAAAATGAAGCAAATGGAAATTTTAGACTGAAAAACACAACAACAGAAATAAAAATTACCAAGGACAGAGAAGTATATTAAATAATGATGAAAGAGTCAATCCATCAAGAAGATATAGCAATCCTAAATGTGTACACACTAAAAGCAGAGATTTAAAAATGTGTGAAATAAAATATAACGGAAATGAAAGAAGAAATATACTAATTGTCAGCAATAGTTAAAGACTTTTGCACCTGTCTTTCCACAATTGATAAAACAATTACACAAAAACCTAGTAAGGATATAGAAGAACTCCAGACACCATAAACCAATAGGATCTAATTCACAAAAAACATTCCACCAATTAACATCAAATACATGTTTATTTCAAGTACCAACATAGCATGTATCAAGATAGGGCCTATACTGGACCATAGAACAAGCCTCAGCAAATGTAAGAGGTTTTAAATGAGGTAGAGTGTGTTCCCTGAACACAATGGAATCAAACTAGAAACCAGAGACAGAAAGATTACAGAAAAATTTCCAAACAGAAACCAAACAACATACTTCTAAATAGTCCGTGGGTCAAAGAAGAAATATCAAGGAAAATAAAAAATACCTTAAACTGCATTAAAATGAAAATACAACATATTTAAATTAGAGCAACACAGTTAAAGCAGTGCTGAGATGGAAACTTATAGCACTATATAAATCCAAAGCAAGCAGATGGAAAGAAATAATAAAGACAAGAGCAAAATCAATAAAATTAAAAACAGAATAACAACTAAAAAATCAATGTGACATGTACCTGGTTGTTGGAAATGATCCATAAAATTGATAAACCTTTAGCAAAGAAAGAGAGAAGATGCAAACTACCAATATCAGCAATGAAACAGAGGATATCACTATAGACAATGCAGACATCTAAACGTTAACAAGGGAATACAATATACAACTCTACATATATAAGTTTGACAACCTAGAGGAAATGCACTAATTCCTTAAAAAAATGTACTACCAAAATACAATATGAAATAGAACATCTGAATAGTCATATAGCCATAAAGAAATTGAATTTCTAATTAAAAATTGCCCAAATATAAACTTCAGGCTAATTTCACTTTTGAGTGAAATGTTTTATAAAACATTTAAGGAAGAATTAACACTAGTTATAAACAATACCTTCCAAAAAAACAAGTCTACTCAGTTCATTTTTGAAGCTAGTATTACCCTGATACCAAAAGCAGACACAATCAGTATAAAAAAGAAAACCACACCTCAATATCCCTCATGAATTTAGCTATAAAAGTTTCCAACAAATATAAGCAAATAGAATTCAGCAACATATAAAAAGAACTATACATCATAACCAAGTAGGGTTTATTATTCCAGGTTTGCAAAGCTGGTTCAATACTCAAAATCAATCAATTTAATCTGCAATATTAACTAAGTGAAGAGAAACATTACAGAATCATTTCAGCTGATGCAGAAATAGTACTAATATTTAACAGAATTCAATATCCATTCATAATAAAAACATATAGAAAATAGGAATACTCAGGCATTTTCTCAACTTTATAAAGAATGTCTACAGAAACCATATGTAATATTATATTTAATATTAAAAGATTGAAAGCTGCTTTTTAAGATAGAGAATAAGGCAAGAATGTCCACATCTATCACTCTTACTCAACATAGTGCTGGAAGTTCAAGACTCCACATTATGGGAAGAAAAAAAACAAAAACAAAAACAGAAAATGTGTTCATGTTGAAAAGAGAAAAATAAAACTGCTTTTTTGGAGATTGCATGATTTTCTTTGTAAAAAAAATAGCAACCTTTAAATACAAAACCTCTTGGAACAATATGTAAGATCAGCAAGTTTACAAATATAAGATAAACATTAAAAAAATCAGTTTTATTTCTATACACTTGCAATGAATGAGCATATAGACACTAAAACAAAAAAAAATACAGCATGTATAACTACTCAAAAGAATATACTTAAAAGTAAATCTGAAAAAATGTATACAATTACAAAACATGACTGAAAGAATAAAGAAGATATAAATAAACAGAAAGACATCCCATCTTCATAGACTGGAAGACAATATTGTTAAGATGTCAATACTACTCAAAACTGTTGACAGATTCTATCCAATCCCTATCAAGACCTCGATGACATTTTTTGAAGAAATAGAAAAACTCATCTTAAAATTCATTTGGAATTTCAAGAGACCCCAAATAGCCAAAACAATTGATGGAAGACTCATATTTCCTGATTTTAAAATTTACTATAAAGCTACAGTAATAAAAACAGTGTGGTACTGGTATATACAGATATATAGACCAATGGAATAGAATAAAGAGCCCAGAAATAAACTCTTATGTATATGGTCAAATAATTTTTGACAAAGATGTCAAGACCATTTAATGAGGGAAAGGACAGTCTTTGCTACAAGTGGTGCTAAGAAAACCTGATATCCACATGTAAAAGAATGAAGTTGAATTTTATATAACACCATACACAAAAAATAATCAAAATGAATCAAAGACCTATATGTAAGAATTAAAACCATAAAACTCCTAGAAGAAAACACATGGCAATAGCTTACAACATTGATTGGCCATTGATTTTTTGGCTATGATACAAAAGGTAAAGATAACTAAAATAAAAGACAAATTGGACTTAATGAAAACTTAATTTTTTTTGCTTCAAAAGACACTATCAATAAAGTAAAAAGGCCACCCACAGAATGAAAGAAAATATTTGCAAATCATATATCTGATAAAGAATTGACATCTGATGTATAGAGAGAATTCCTAAAACTCAACTATTAAAAAACAAACAACCCAATTCAAACATGAGCAAAGAACTTGAATAGACATTTTTTCCAAAGAAAATAAACAAATGGCCAATAAGCATGAAACGATGCTCAGTATCAGTCATCATCAGTGAACTCCAAACCAAAACAATAATGACATACCACCTCAGATCAATTAGGATGGCTAGTATCAAAACAGACAATAACAAGTGCTGGTGAACACGTAGAGGAATTTTAACCCTTCTGCACTGTTGATGGGAATATAAAAGGGCATAGCTGCTGTGGAGGACTATGGTGGTTCCTCCAAAAATTTAGAATAAAATTACCATATGACCTGGCAATTTTACTTCTGAGTATACACCCAAAAGACCTGAAAGCAGGGTCTTAAAGAGATATGTGTACACCCATGTTCACTACAGCAGTATTCACATTAGCTAAAACATGGAAGCAATGCAAGTACCTATCAACAGACAAGCAAAATGTGGTATAGACATACAATGGAATATTACTCAGCCTTAAAATGGAAGACAATTCTGACACATGCTACAACATGAATAAATCTTAAGGACATTATGGTAGGTAAAATAAGTCAATTATAAAAAGACAAATATTATATGATTCCACTTAGATGAGGTACTTAGAGTAGTTAAAATAATAGGGATAGAAAGTCAAATGGTGGTTTCCAGGGACTGAGCATGTCTGAGAGAATGAGGAGTTATTGTTTAACAGGTACAGAGCTTCAGTTTTAAGATGAAAAGAATTATAGAGAGGGATGATAGTGACGATTGCACGACATTATGAATGTGTTTAATACTACAGAATTGTATATTTTAAATAGTTAAGATGTAAATTTTATGTTTATTTTACCACAAAAAATACAGGATTTGTACGCTGAAAACTACAAAATTCATCAAAATGTCTTAGCTACATCAATGATTGTATGTATTCTTTTCTGCTTCCTGGGATTGTTATAGACTCATTTCTTTGCATATATATTTCTCTGTCATTTCAAAGAAATTTGGAGAATGAGGGGAACTAAACTCACATGTTTAATCTGCCATCATAAACCTCAAGTCAATCTTCTAAATTCTGTTTTCAGCCACGATTTTCCAGATAATTATTGTAAATTCATTTTATTTAGATTTTCATATGATTTTACCTACTTCCATAAGCAGAGGATTTGACTGAAGAAATGACCACATCCCAAAAACAATAAAACATTTGATTCTGATAATTCTTAACACAATCGATTCTCTGTCAATCATTTTAAGGAAGACCAAAACAAAAAGCCTAAATGAAAAAAAAAAATTCATCAAAATGCAACACTATAAAATGACATATCAAAGTTAACAAAAACATATTTTTGTTTAAAAGGTAGTTTGAATTAAACTCATCAGGGAAATGTTGGTCAAAAGGGGGCTTATAGTTTATCCTGGAGATAAGCAGTTATCAGAATGTGGTCTGTGGTCAGACTGCAAGGGTTCATATCTCAGATGCACCATTAACTAGCTGTGTGACTTTGAATAAGTTACTTAATCTTTCTTACAATCAGATTCATCTAATGTAAAACGTAATAATAGTTTATATCTCATAAGGTGATGTGAGGCTTAATAATCTATAAAAACACTTAAAGACAAGCATCTGACAATTTCTCAATAAATATTTCCTAAGATTATTAAAAGCTGTGTTTCTGAGAAACTATACATAGAGTGATTCCCAGAAACTCAGACTGAATATTCTCTCAACATTAATTCCAGTTATAAGATTCTCTAGAAACCTATATTGTGCTGAGTGAAATATTCAGCTATTTGGTACCCAGTACAAACACTCAAGGAAGGTGACTAAAGTGCTTGGTACTGCTCTTATTTGCAATTTGCATTATTTTCTATCTGACAAGTCAGGTACAGAGCTAGAACTGGTAGATTCTGACAATCCAAAACTTGTGGTTTTGATTTCATCTCATGTACCACATTAAAATGATTTTGTACTGATTTTCTATGCAAGAATTGTCATTTTTTTGATTATATAAAACTTTCACCAAAAAATATAGAAAGGAGATTAAAAAGAGAGTCAGTGCTAAAACAGACTCTTTAAAAGCAAAAGCCTACCATCTGTAGCAGGAGGACTTTATAAAACCCAGGGGTGTCTTCTTACCCAACTGTCAACACCAGGAAACATGCCAAGGGGACAGATGCTAAAACTGGAAAGTCTCATCTAGGGCGTGACATCAGAGTCCTATAATTTCTCTCTAAAAAGGCAACAGTCACCACAATGGCAATGAGATATTATTGAAGAAACAAAACTCCCTCCTTAATGAAGAATGGCTTCCATTAAATAGTTACGCTACTAAAATTCTACTAACAGAAATGAACATACTGGTCTGTGGGATGGGAGGTAAAATCTGTACTCTACTGAACAAGTTCCTAAGAGACCAGCAGGTACCTTTTTAATTACTGGCAACAACAGGGAACATAAGATCAATCAAGGAAATAATAACAGAAGCCATTACTAAAAATTAGTTTCCAATCCCAATGCAGAGTTGAAGAAAAACAATAAGGAAATCTCTATGTCTTTTTTAACAATACACTGACAAGCATGTGATAACAAAAATTGTTAACTCAAAGGTAACATCCAGCATTAAAAATGAAAAATAATCTATAATTACTACTATTACCTGGGGAGTTTATGTTTACTTTGTTTCATTTTACTCTAAGGCAAATATATAAAGAGATTTTCTTCTCATCAGTCAGTCCTTTCCATTTCTATACCCCACTGCTTCTCGTTTCTATTTACAGAGAGGAAAACTCATATATGTCCCCACAGGATACAATGCCATATTCGTTGCTGAACACATATGAAAAGACTGAGTTATTTGCCAAATAGTGAAATAAAGGCAGAAAAGGCACATTTGTCAAAACATATTTGGTGGGCTATATCTTGAAGTATTAGCCTGAGTACTCTTCTGTATACATTTTGTGCACACTTCTCATTCTGTAATCTGAAGGGAACTCCCGTTTGTGAGCTAATTTTCTTTTCCCCTGCCCATATTAAAACAATGACTCAAAGAAGCCTCAAGCCTCTGGGCATAGAAGAAGTATTTGAAAGACTCAGATGTATGCTTGAGTTGTTCTGTTCCAAAAGCCAAGATAGGATGAAGGTTGGGAGTCTCTGGGGAGTAGGAAATTATAGCTACATGAAAACGAAGGTGAAGAAGGATGGATGGTCCTTCCCCAAGTGGTAATAAGGAAGGCAAATGACAGGAGAAAGACGAGAAAAAGAGAGTAACCAACCATTGTGTGAAAGCACCAACTCATCACTCATGGAAAATTCAACTGGACACTTATTCTAAGAATCTTAAATAGAGACTGGGAACTTGAACTCTTTATGTGGGAATGAGGACATGAAAGAAAAAATATCTTGTGCTCTGTACAAAGTGAAATTTTTGACACAGTTGAAAATTTTCTCAGAAGCTGGTACAGTGGTTATCGTATAAAAATAACACTTAGTTCTCTGTAGTAATTTAAGACCTCTTTTTGCATAGGAAATAGTATAATAGGTTAATACTCCCACATGCTACAGATTTTATAAACTCCCTTATACTAAAAAGTATAAAAACAGCACCTGAGGATCTACCCACCCCCACAAAAGTAACTTTAGAAGATTACGAGTCTGAAAGTTATTTTTTCTTAATTATATAATTTATGATTTCTGCTTTCTAGTTTTTAAAATAAGTATTGCATTAACAATAATGAAGTAATTCAAAGTAAGAACTTTGGGTGGGTTTCTAAGATACTTACTAATATAGTCACCATTTCCATGTTCTTCACTTCATCTGGTACTATTTTTCTCCTCCTGAAGGACTTCTTTTAACAATTTTTCACGATGTGGAGCTTTTGGTGATTATTTCAATTTTGTATGTGTGAAAAAAAAATTGCTTAATTGCACCTTCTTTTTTTGAAAGATAGTCCTTGCTGTTTACAGCAGTCTAGCTTGGCTTCTTTTCTCCCTTTCAGTATTTTAAAGATATTTTTCCACCGTCTTCTGTCTTGCATTCATTTTGAGGATAATCGGATGTCATCCTTTATTCTATACTTACGTGTCTTTTTTTCTCCAGTTACATTTAAGATTGTCTACACTAATTTAATTTTTAATTTTTATTTTTTGTAGTATATAGTTTTTAATTTTTGTGGCTACATAGTAGGTGTATATATTTATGGGGTACATGAGATGTTTTGATATAGGATTCAATGTGAAATAAGCACATCATAGAGAATGGGGTATCCATCCCCTTGGGCATTTATTCTTTGAGTTACAAACAATTCAGTTACAGGCATTAAATTATTTTAAAATGTGCAATTAAGTTATTATTGACTGTAGTCATCCTATTGTGCTACCAAACAATAAGTGTTATTCAGTCTTTAATTACTTTTTTGTACCCATTAATAATCCCCATCTCCCCACCTCCCTTCCCAGCCTCTGGTGACTATCGTTCTGCTCTCTATCTCCTTGAGTTCAATTGTTTTGAATATTAGATCCCACAAATAAATGAGAACATGCAATGTTTGTCTTTCTGTGCCTGGCTCGTTTCACTTAACACAATGATCTCCGTTTCCATCCATGTTGTTGCAAATGACTGGATCTCATTCTATGTTTCAGCACTGTTTATAATGGCTAAGATTTGGAAGCAAAATAAGTGTCCATCAACAGATGAATGGATAAAGAAAATGTGGTACATATACAAAATGGAGTACTATCACTAATTTTAACGAATTTAATCATGGTATGTCTTAATGTAGTTTTCTTTCTTTTGCCTCCTTGAGATTTATTGAGCTTCTTGAATACATATGTACATGGAGTTTTAGTTTTCATTAAATTTGGAAAATTTGTGGCCACTGTTTCTTCAACTATTTCGTCTCCCCACTCTTCACCTTTAAGATAACCCCCACCTGACTGATGTCCCTTTAAGAAAAAAAATTCTGTGTTTCATTTTGAATAGTCTCCATTACCATGTCTTCAAATTCACCAGTCTTTCCTTCTGCAATGTTTAATTTGCCATTAATTCCATACAGTTTATTTTTCATCTCCAACATTATAGTTTTCATGTCTAGAAGCTTGGTTGGAGTATTTTCAATATTTCTATGTATCTCTACTGGTTCAGTCCTTCCTCTAGCTTTATGCACATAAGGAATATAGTTTTAATAACTGTCTTAATGTCCTGGATTGATTTTTCTCCTCCTCGTGGATCATATTTTCCTGCTTCTTTGAATGCCGGTTACTTTTAATTGGATGCCAGAAATTGTGAAATTTGCTTTATTGGATGACAGAAACTGTGAACTTTACATTGTTAGGTACTAAATATTTTTGTATTTCCATAAATATTTTTGAGTTTTGTTCTGAGCATATTTATCTGTAAACAGTTTCACTTTTTCAAATCTTACTTTTAAACCTTTTTAAGCAGATCTAGAACAAACTTCAATCTAGAGATAATTTTGCCCCAATACTGACACAAAACCTGCCTGCGTATTCTACACAACGTCCCAAAATTATGAGGTTTTCTTCTCTGTCTGGGTGAACAAGAACTTTCCCTGGCCTTGCCTGATTTCCAGCACATGACCTCTACTCCCTTTGAGTGGTTCCTCCTCACCTCTGGTGGTGTCCTCATTCATGGACATGAGCTGATCAGTCCCCAGGTGAAGACTATAGATCTTTGTAGATGTCCAGAGTTATTTCTTTGTTGCAGCTCTCCCCTCCCTGATGTTTTGCCTGTAAACTCTAGCCACTATGATGACCTCTCCAGATTCCAAGTTCTCCTCAACTCAAGGACATCTCTATGCTTTACCTGGGTTCCCCTCCCTGCACCACAGTCTGGAAAAAAGTATAAGCAGTAAGCCGGGGCAGTTTTAGGTCTTACCTCATTTGTTTCTTGTCTCTCAGGAATCACTGGACTTCCTCGTGTGACATCCAATTGTCCTGAAAACTGGTGTTCAATATGTTTTGCTCAGTTGTTTCAGGTAGAAGAGTACACTTTGTCCCTGTTACTCCATCTTTGAAGGCATGGAATTTTGGATTTGTTTTTCTTTCATATATATACTTTTAAAGATAAGAGTCTGTTCTTTTCTCCCCACATTCGTTGCTCTTTACGAGTTCTGTTGCTTCATTGCATATATACATTGTAAAACCCTCTGAGTTGGTAAGAATAAGTTAATTCAGGGTGACCACAGGCAGAATCCAATGTCAGGTTTGTTTTTGTTTTTGTTGTTTTAGCATAAGTCAAATCGGGGGCCACAAGCAGAGTCCAGTGTCACAGTGTCAGGTTTGTTTTTGTTTAGGTTTTTTTTTTTTTTTTTTTTTTTTTTTTTTTTTTTTTTTTAGAACTAGTGACTCCTGTCACTCTCTTCCACTCTAAAAGGGCAAGATGCAATGGCAAAAGGGCACATAATTCTGTTTCCTTGAGTGTCTCTTAGTATTAAAGTAGGCTCAGTTTCTAAATATTAAAATGACCCACAATAAGAGCTGCAATGATTAAGTTTGTGACTTGTTATACCAATCAATGTATGACAAACTTAGAAAAACTGTATATAATTTACAATGACAAGAGAGGAAAGAGGAGCACAGGAAACAGAAACTCCAAGAATAATTAAGAAGACATTGCAAGTTTCCAGAAAGGAAAGCCACAAGAAATTTTACACGCTGGCCTAGGAATTTAATAGAGACAGAGTAGTCTCTCCTTAGCAGTAGAAATTATAACTTAAAACTAAAAATGGAACTTATTACAGATTTTAATGTATCAAATAAGAAGAATAGAGATAATTTTTTAAATCCAAGCCATAACAATTTTCTATGAAACAGTGCAAGGCATGTCACTCACTCAAAATCAAGATTACTCAGTTTTCTTTTGCTTTGAAAACTATAGGGCAGGAGAAGTGAAAGATTTCCAATGTATTTCTTCAAAAATGTGGAATATTCTGCAGAAAATAAATATTAAAATAGTAATTAAATGAAGTCATCTAAGATAACATATAAAGGACCAACTACATTTCAGAACAATTGTTAATGCCTCTATGTATGTCTAGTTCCATTTTTAAATTGGACATCTGGACTTCTTAATAATCAAAAACGTTTTGTACTAACATCAATAAGTCGAGAAAATTATATTAACTGAAAGAAAACAAAATAATAGAGAATTTTATTAAACGTATTTCTAATGTTTCTCTTCATGTTTGGAGAAAAGCTGCCACATAATTAAAACAATTCTTACCCTGTAAAACTGATTGTCTTCCAATCTCAGGAGGTTTACATTAACAGGAATATAGAATAAGAAACAGGCCTATGGCCGGGCTCCGTGGCTCACGCCTGTAATCCCAACACTTTGGGATGCCGAGGCGGACGGATCACGAGGTCAGGAAATCCAGACCATCCTGGCTAACGCGGTAAAACCTAGTCTCTACTAAAAATACAAAAAAAAAAAAAGAAAGAAAGAAAAAAAAAAAAGTAGCCAGGCATGGTGGCGGGCCCCTGTAGTCCCAGCTACTCAGGAGGGTGAGGCAGGAGAATGGTGTGAACCTGGGAGGCGGAGCTTGCAGTGAGCCGAGATCGCGCCCCTGCACTCCCGCCTGGGCGACAAAGCGAGACTCCGTCTCAAACACACACACACACACACACACACACACACACAGGCCTACAAGGGGAGTGGAAAGTCTAGATAGCTAAAGCCGTCACTATCACTTGACTTTTGACTAAACATAAATGGAACTTGTTTATTGAACAGTCTGAATTTGATGTGGGAGGAAAAAATGTCTCCCTTTTTCTCTGTTTTCTGCCGTTCAATTCATTCTGTTGAGTCCTCATTCTTAAATACTCTGACAACATCTCAGCCGTTCAGGTAACTTCTCAGTATAGAACAGTATCTTTGCCCATAATTACAACTCACTTTTATTACTAAGTGGTTCAAAACTCTATAAAATCAAACCTCACTCTCAATGTTTTTTTCATTCTATATCAATAGGGATGTGTAGTCTGACCTTTCACTCTCTCCATCTCCTCCCTCACCCTCTTTCCTTCTCTTTCTTACAAAACTGGACAGAACAGTAGGCATGAGAATTAATAGTAGAGGGGTGAAACACAGGCACTTCTCCATTCTATCTTGTTGAACACAGGCTGGTTGTCTTGCTCTCCATTCTAGCCATCAACAGATGCTGGTTTCTTTATAGGACACATATAGGGTCTTTGTTGTTTGTTTTGTTTTGTTTTGAGGTGGCTCACACTTAATTGTGGTTGATACTTCACTAATTCACTGTTTGCAGAGGATGAAGGAGAGGGTGAGCGGTATTTCTAATGACTTCTTTCTCAGATTCTAACCATGGAGAATCATCCTAGATTTTCTTAAGGTGAGGAGGTGCTACCCTCCAGCAAGTAGTCCTTTTGGGCGAATTCCTCTTAGGACAAGTATTTCCAGCTATTTCCTCCAGAATGCAGTTAGCTTATGACAAACTAAGGCGTCCTTGCCATTTAAAATGTTAGACACATTATCTGCCTTCAGTCTTGCAGAATTCTGTCTTCTCAGGTATCTTCAGCAAATTTTCATGAAAGTGGGATGCAAATATTCTTTTCTGTTAGAAGTAGATTTATTTTGAAATTAAGGAAATTTAAACTTCAGGGTCCCTTGCATAAGGCTCTTCCAAATCCCTGAAAAAGGCCTTAGAAATAAGTTCACATTGTGAAAGTTTGTAAAATTTGCAAACGTAATACAGAGTTCTTTATATTGTGTAAGTTTCAGGACTCATAAATCTTGGATGCTCCTGAGGTCTATATTCACTTAGGCACACCAAACCCCAACACCAACAAACACATGTCAGGTCTCCTAGGAACTGTGACTAGGATTTCTCCTCTTCAATCTTCTATGGGATAAGAATGATGAAATGCCCCAGAATAACAAACTCCCCAGTAGGCTGACACATTCTACATTAATAATTCTTGTCAATATTCTTCCACAAATCAAGGCTAGCAATGGGGGTGAATAGTCACTGAAGCAGTTTTTCAATCATTTTGACAGTCCTACACGAATGTATCTAGCACCTCCTTATAATATGAAGCACTTTTTACCCAGTAATTTCAGCTTTGGGGCTTCAACCTTTCAATTCAAGACAAGAAGGAATTTTTCATAGACATTTCTATTATATAAGCATTCATTCACCTGAGACAACGCAAGTGGATATCACTGACTCAGGCTTCCTCCTTCATCCAAAGAGGGCCTCAACTTAAAACTAATGAAAATATGCAGGAAGATAAATTTATTTTATATTTTATTTTATTTTCCTAGGAAAACTCATTTTTGTTTTGCAAGGCAAAATGGAAACAAAGTGCAACATTCACTGTTTATTATAAATGTTCATTGTAACTCAGTGAAAAGGAAAACACTGCAGGCTAATTTTGCAGGAAGTAGGACTCTTAAGATTTTTAAATTTAAATTTAAAATTAATATAGAGTAAGTTAATTTAAAAAAGCATTCACTTGAGAATTAGGTTTAAGGGTAGTTAGTTCAAATATAGACACTAAAAAATAATTTTGTAATAAAAAAAGTAAAATAGAATCTGCCAGTGATAGAATCTGTTTCAACACCCAATATGGGTTCTTACCATAAGTAAAATGACTGGTTTATCTCTAAGTTTGTAAAAAGGAGAGTAGGTTTTATAAAACAAAATGTATACATACAAATAGGTTAACCAAAAATCAACACTAAAGTTTTCATTAGTTTGCTTTTTTCAGTGTTGTGCTGGGCAGACTTGGCTTCTGTTTCCTAGAAATGCATTAAACATCTGATTTATTTTCCACTTTTAAAACAAATCACTGATAAAAGCTAAATGTGCTTTTGTACTTTCCATCCTTGATTAATCTCTGGTACTTCCAAGTGATCTGTAAATAATGCATGATTTTGAATGATATCTTGCCAGATTGTTTACAGCAGGCCCAAAGCTACACATTGGATTTTGATAGGCAGTTAGCAAAACAACGCAAAGAAGATAGAAATGAGCAGCTAGTGAACTACTTGGGATGTCAACTCATGGAGATGGTGTGAGTAAACAAAAGGTATATTTTAACATGTTTAGTCTCTTCCCTGGCACATTGTAATGAATACACTATTGCTATACTAGCATTACCTATCAGCAGAACCTGATGATAATTTTTTACCACACAAAACTTCAAACTGAGTGGTAATACAATGGAAAAAAAACTGATTGAAGTCACAAGCCTTTTGAGTCTTTTTCCAAAATATGAGCCTGTAAGATGTTTTTGTTTGTTTGTTTCTAAAGAATCCACTGAAGTCTGCAATTGTCTTTCATTTATCCAAACACCAATGGGTAAGAAAAATATTGACTGTCATGAAGTAAAGTAAATAACAAGTGAAAAATAAAAGAACCCATAAATGCTATTCTAATTAGGAAACAGTGACAAATTCCCATAGCAATCAAATTGTCCTGGGATAAATAAGACATTTAGAAATAAAAAATGCACACGTATGCAAGGTGCAAAACTCACTTCTTACAAAACTCTATACAAATTGCATTTCATAAGGAGATAAAAATTAATAAATTGTATTTCCAGTACTTTTTAACTTAACAGGCAAGTACCTTGACTTATATCACGCAGGTCAAAGTTCAAATTGAGACTTCGACTTATAAGAGGCAAGTTATTCTGACATTTCCTCATTTACAAATATGGGGAAATATTGCCTAACTCATGGAGATGGTGTGAGTAAACAAAAGGTGTATTTTAACATGTTTAGTCTCTTCCCTGGCACATCGTAATGAATACACTATTGCTATACTAGCATTACATATCAGTAGAACATGATGATAATTTTTTACCCTACAAAGACCCACTGAAATGAATTATTTTCATTTGGTAGGACAATTTTTTATCTAAGAATGCATGGGCTTACCCTGGAATCCCCTCCACTTAAAAAAAAAAGTGAATCAGATTGTTTTATTTGAAAAAGTACTGAATACAAAAACTGTGTCTCTCTTTTTTTTTCCAGAGCAAGATCTGTTCACCTATCACCTATTTGAAAAGGTAATTTCATATGACAACAAATATATAAGACAGCAATACATAGATACCATCCTTACATTTATAAACAAAAAAGCATGAGTTATGTATATTTAAAAGATACCCAAAGAAGTTATTTGCCTTAACTCAAATATGTACTTAACTTGTACATTTCAACTCAAATATGTACATAACTTGTACATTTCAGAAAAAAAAATTTTCCTTGAATTAACTAGATAAATTCTCTTATTCACAAAACAGAAAAATGGGCATAGGAACCTGGGTACAAAGTGTAAAAATGATACAAAACTAAAGCTACTAATTCTAACATAAAAATTTCACCATATAAATTTGAGTTTTCAAAATTGTTTGGGATTTTGCTAATCCAAAAGAATACATTTGAATAGCTTCATGATACGGCAACTCCACCTCTTATTTTTGATAGGCAGAATTTCAGAGTTCTCACACCCTGTCTCACATAGAAGGGCAGGTAATGTTACCCAAATCATACCATACTGTATCACTCCTTCAAGCCTTTGCTCTTGGTGCTGGCTAAAATTCTATTCATCTTTTTAAAATTCTAGTGAGATGACACTTCATCTGAATAGGCTACCTTAACCTCAAACTCTCAGAGGCATTTAATCATATTCTTCTCTAAATGATCCTTCTGTACTCGGCATTCTTCTAGTATTATAAGAATCATAACATAGAGTCTAAATGAATTATATTCTTACTTCTTTTTAGAAAAAATATGCTAAATTACTTTTTAAATGTGATTTCAATTTTTGGTAGGTTTATTTCACCATACTTCAAATAGGGAGTAATTATAGGTTAGTGCAGGGTGTGATTTGACAATATATTTTAGATGAAGAGCCATCTACTGGAAGGGCATTTTTAATCTATGATGAGATTCAAACTAGAATATGTTAAAAAGAATGGAGAGAAAAGAGCTTCTCATGTGAGCATGATTAAGGTTACAATAAAATTTGATGTTTCTATAATACCTTATATGGGGTTTAATGTTTATATTTGCAAAATTCATTGGTAGTTAAAAAAAAGTTGATGCAGGTTTTCTTTACTTATACCTTAGCCTTATTTCATATTAAAAAAGCAATATGGGTTAACACCGAATCACTAAACCTAATAATTTTAATACTCTCTACCACAATTTTTCCTACTTAAGTTAGCTTTTATGGGAAAAATACTAAATATCTTCATTGGATTATTTGGACTTTTAAATTATTAAGCTTGAGAAATTGTATATAAAATAATGCCTTTTCATTTTATGGCTTTATTAACATAACTTTTAAAACTTGGCTGAGCAAGGATTTCCTCTTTTCTCAGATTATCCATTCCTTCATTTCATTATTTCTTACTAAGAGAAGGCTTTAATTTAATCAAAAATATGTACAACTAAAACTACTCAATTTTTTAACTCTTCCAGTTGGAGTCAGTGGGGTGGGAGGAAGTTGTTCTGACCAATGCAATGGAGAGATAATTTCCCAGGCAATGTCCTTTTCTGAATAAAATGGCAAAGTCTCTCCAGGAGAAAGCCCTGTTGGTCCTTAGTTGCATCATTTCAGAGTTATAAGCAGAAAGCAGCAGGGGCAACTGCTTTCTGCTTATAACTCTGAAATGATTCCTAAATGTGCAGCAGCCATCTCAATGAACCCAACTAGGAAAAGCAAGTGTTACAGACGGTAAAGGAGGGTAAGAGGAGTCTGGGCTTTTATATGAAGTCTTCGAGCAAATGGATCAGCCTGACTGCCTGCTTCTGAACATCTCCTTACAGATGAAAAATAAACACTCAGCTATTTAAGCCATGGTTGGTTGGGTTTTCTACTATTTGCAATCAAACCCAGCTTTCCGATATAAAGTTATTCTGATTTAAAATTATTTCATTACAGTTTGCTTTATAATAAAACATTATTCTTATTCACTCTGTTTTTAAAAATTGATTTATGTAGTCTGTATTGCTTTATATATAGCATCTTAGTCCCCAGTCTCTGCTTCTCATTGATGATGATAAGTCATGATAATTAACTTTTGTTATCAAACATTATAAGCCATATACTGCTTTACTGCAGATGGTTCATATAATGATTAAGCTACTGAAAAACACTTTCAAAAATGCTATTTAACAAGAACAACAACAAGAAGGCCTAAATCAACTAGGAGTTAAACTTACAGTTGTTGATAAAATAAAATCTACAAGGGGTATTGTGAACACTGACTACTATATTCAGGTTCATAGTCTAGTTCAAAGGAACTTAATTAAATGACTGTGGCTCAATCAGTTAAAAGTTTCTCCTCTTATCACTTTATGACATTTTATTGCATTTAAAAATTAAAGGATTAGTTAAATTCTTCTATGATGATCTGGCTGGCAAAGTTGGTTGCAAAACATATAAATTTTGGATGTGATCCTCCCAAAATGGCATACAGAAACCCGATTTGCAATTTGTTCAAGTCATGCTAAATGTGCACTTGTTAACTAAAAAACATTCTGAAACTGAAGAAGACTTCATTTCTGGCACTCACTAAAAAGGTTTTCTTGTAAATGTGTTGTAATCTCAAACAATTTCCATTCTTGATTAATAGTTTTAGAGAATTTATTTAAGAAATTGGTATATATTACAGATGTTAAAACATAGTTAGTCCTCAAAGCTGAGTTAAACTTAGAACCCTATGATGTTAATGATTTTGATGACAAAAATGACAATTACTAATATTTACTGGATGTCCCAGAGTACTAGATAATGTGCTAAACCCACTAACATGTTTTAGTATTGTTAATATCTTAATATTGTTAATTTAATCCTTCCCTTTCCCACTAAAAAAAATAAGACCGGTATAATTTCTACCTTCATTTTACATATGAAGATACCAAGGCCAGGGGAAGTTATTCAACTGGCCCAGAATCCCACGAATACTACATGGCATATAGAAACTAAAACCAGGCAATCTGACTCTATCTAGACCAAAATTCACCACAGATGCTTATTCCTCAAAATACTACAGCCCAATCACCTGACATATTTTTAAATTGGCAAGTTTTAAATATCACATGCTACATTCTTTTATAGGAAATTCAGACTGTGGATATTGTGGATATTGAATTTTTTCACTAAAGGTGGCAGATTTGTTCCAGTGTTTCCAGGAATCAACCACATAAATTCCCAAAAAGTGAGACCAAGCCTGTAGTATATTAATAGGGAAGAGGTTTATTGTAACTTCACAAAACTTTGAGAATATATGCTATTTTAGATATCCCCTTTCCAAACTGACATCAATAAAAAGTAGTTCTGACATTTGCATGGCTGCCCAGCATCAGAGCACTAGAGCAAAGTATTGGAAAAATACATAAAGACAAGCATCCAACAAGCAAGTAGATAAAATTAAGACACAAGGTGATTTCTGTAAATAATAGACAATGCCAAGAGTATCAGTAATTTTACCGGCTATAACCACACTATCATTAAGAGTAATGAGGTCACAATGAATAACCAGGTATGTATCTATACTAATACATATGCAATATGATATAGAGTACTAATGAAATTTTGATATAATCAAAAGAAGAGCTAATGAAATAGAATTTAATGAAATACTAATAAGAATAACAGGGGGAAATAATATTTAAGTTATTTTCATTAATCAAAATCATTGTTTTTCACATTATGGAACTTCATAATTTTATAAAATATTTCACTTTATTTAGCAAATTCCAGGATAATATATTATCCATATACTTTAAATAAATATATATTATAAATTATATCTTATAAGCAATGAGAATTTTACTCAAGATTATTATTTGACTTTGGCAAAAATAACATTTTTTGCCAGAAAAGGGCAGAACTGTATTCTAACCTAGCATTTTTTCTACTATGACAGCTGACCTCGCAGGTATTAGACTATTATAAACGCCATTTTTAAAAGTTAACATCATGTATAACCTCTGCACCCTAGAAATTTTCAATCTAAGCAATTTTTTTAACGTGAGAAATCATATTGAACCTATGATATTCTGTAAACACTAAAAGGAACAGTTTTAAAATCAATTTAATTCATACTCTTTTTCTCTCTTTTTTTTTTTTTTTTTTTGACGGAGTTTCGCTCTTGCTTCCCAGGTTGGAGTGCAATGGCACGATCTCGGCTCACCAGCAACCTCCGCCCCCTGGGTTCAAGTGATTCTGCTGCCTCAGCCTCCTGAGTAGCTGGGATTACAGGCATGCACCACCACGCCTGGTTGATTTTGTATTTTTTTTTTTTAGTAGAGACGGGGTTTCTCCATGTTGGTCAGGTTGGTCTCGAACTCCTGACCTCAGGTGATCCGCCCATCTCAGCCTCCCAAAGTGCTGGGATTACAGGCGTGAGCCACCACACACGGCCATTCATGCTCTTTTCATAAATTAATATAATTTTCAGGTCACTGGCAAATCTGTGTAGATTACAAGTAAGATAATAAAAATGGAAAGTTAAAAGTATTGTTAAGAACTAGTAAAATAGAAGTTTTTTAAATTTTTGTTTTTTATTTCCATACGTTTTTGAACAGTGGTGTTTGGTTACATGGCTAAGTTTTTTAGTGATTATTTCTGGGATTTTGGTGCACCCATCACCTTAGCAGTGTACATTGTAACCAATGCGTAGTCTTTTATCCCTCAGTCCCCTCCCACCCTTTCCTCTTAGTCCCCAAAGTCCACTGATCATTCTTATGCCTTTGCGTCCTCATAGCTTAGCTCCCAATAAGTAAAAACATATGATATTTGGTTTTCTATTCCTGAGTTTGAGTTCCATCCTGGTTGCTGCAAATGCCATTATTTTATTCCTTATTTTGGCTGAGTAGTATTCCATGGTGTATGTGTGTGTGTGTGTGTGTGTGTGTGTGTGTGTGTGTGTATGTATATAAAATGTATGTGTGTGTGTGTGTGTATATATATATACACATTTTCTTTATCCACTCTTTGATTGATGGTCATTTGGGCTAGTTCCATATTTTTGTGACTGTGAATTGTGCTGCTTGCTATAAACATGCATGTGCAAATATCTTTTTCTTATAATGACTTCGTTTCCTCTGAGTAGATACCCAGTAGTGGGCTTGCTGGATCAAATGGTAGATCTACTTTTAGCTCTTTAAGGAAGCTCCATACTGTTTTCCATAGTGGTTGTACTAGTTTACATTCCCACCGGCAGTGTAAAAGTGTTCCTTTTTCACCACATCCACACTAACATCTATTATTTTTTGATTTTTTGATTATGGCCATTCTTGCAGGAGTAAGGTAGTATTGCTTTGTGGTCTTGATTTGCGTTTCCTTAATCATTAGTTATGTTGAGCATTTTTTAATGTGTTTGTTGACCTCTTGTATATCTTCTTTTGAGAATTGCCTATTTATGTCCTCAGACCACTTTTTGATTGGATTCTTTTTTTCTTGCTAATTTGTTTGAGTTTCTTATAAATTCTGGATATTAGTCCTTTGTCATATGCATAGTCTGCGAAAATTTCCTCCCACTCTGTGACTTGTCTGTTTACTCCGCTGATTATTTCTTTTGCTGTGCAGAAGAAGTTTTTTGGTTTAATTAAGTCTCATCTAGTTATCTTTGTTTTTGCTGCATTTGCTTTTGGGATAGTGGTCATGAAGTCTTTTCCTAAGGCAATGTCTAGAAGGTGTTTTCTAATGTTATCTTCTAGAATTTTTATGGTTTCAGGTCTTACATTTAAGTTCTTGATCCATTCTGAGTTGATTTTTGTAAAAGATGAGAGATGAGGATCAAGTTTCATTCTTCTACATGTGGCTTGCCAATTATCCCAGCACCATTTGTTGAATAGAATGTCCGTTCCCCAATTTATGTTTTGTTTTTGTTTGCTTTGTCAAAGATCAATCGGCTCTAAGTATTTGGCTTTATTTCAGGGTTCTCTATTCTGTTCCATTGGTCTATGTGCCTATTTTTATACCAATACCAGGCTGTTTTGGCAACTGTAACCTTATAGTATAGTTTGAAGTTGGGTAATGTGACACCTCCAGATTTGTTCTTTTTGCTTAGTCTTGCTTTGACTATGTGGGCTCTTTTTTGGTTCCATAAGAATTTTAGAATTGCTTTTTTCCTAGAAGAACTAATAAAATAAAGTTTGATACAGGAAAATTATCAAATATTTCTAGGAAAAAAACACTGGGAGTGGAACCATGAAAGTTTATGGTTTTAAATAATTGCAGGGGATGGGGAAATGAAAAATGGAAGACAAAATGACACACTGAACTGGAAAACGTTTCTCAGGATAAATCTGACAGTTATGTGGAGAAGCTATTCCCATTACTACTATTTTCAAAAAAAAAAAGCAAACTTTCAGAGAAAAGATATCTTCCCAAAACATCTGGGTAGTTGGTGAAGAATGGCGAGATATAAAAAATAGAAAGTAGTAGAGGACGTGTCTATAGAAGAGAAGTTTGGAGAAAAAAAAAAAACAGAACATAACCATCTATTGTTTGACTAGAGAATGACAAGGTGGGAATGTGATCAAAACCAGTAACAATGTGAAAGATATTATTTTCAAACAAACAAACAATAGGCTGGAGTTGATATTATACCAATAAGGTTATATTTCTTGAAGGAGATATTTGAATGTCTAAGAAAATTATTTTTGAAACATGTACCATTAAGAAGCAGAAGAATCTCCCAAGGGAAACACTAAAAGCCCAGGTGAGTCATTAAAATCTCTTCAGAGTAAAATATTTCTTCATGTCTCAGGTCTGCATCAAAGGTATATATATATATATATATACCTCATATGTATCTTGTATATATACATACATATATAATAAAACATAACATTTTTCTTATATTTATAAATATAAGTATAAATATAAATATAAATGTATATTTTATTTATAAATAATTAAAATAAACATTACAGGTATAATAGTAGTATAGAGTTTACTTACACCCATTGCAGCAGGTTTTATTCTCTCAGACAGTTAAAAAATCTTCATTTTCCCATTTGACACGACATTATATTGGAGAATGGCAAAGCAAAGGTAAAAGGCAATAAACCATTCCTATAGTACATAATTGCTGGCACAGTTCCAGGAATTGAAATATGTAGGGAAAGCATTCTTCAACAGGTTATGCTCTACTCTCACTTTTGCTTGCTCACTGCATGAGCAGGAAATGTTTAATAACTTAGGCTGACCTTGGCGACACATCAAAAGAAAATTCTCGAGCTGTACGAAAAGTTGATTTATCTATACCTTTCTTTACCTGAATCAGTTTAAATGCATTTCGTTCAAAAAATAGGGCAGAATTTATCTATAGTCAGCACTTACTGAACTAAGATATTCTAATAATAGCATAGATAAAATAATAATAATAATGATTATATTTTAATGGTCCTCGATTAACCTTAAGTGTGTGCATCAGAAGCCAGGATGCACACACAGACACACACCCACAACAACACTGTGTAATCTCAGATCTTCATGGTATTTTATTAATGGGAAATTGTCACCATGAGACTGATTTCTGTAACTATAACATTCACCATTTTATCTTCACACAAAGCATAAATCTAATTTAACATATATCAAGTTTCTGATATTTTGTTTTTTCTTCACAGAGTCATTCTTTTCTTTATTAAAGAATTCTGAAAGACAAGTGGTATATGATTCAACAGTGCTCTCTAGAATTTAATTTTAAATTACGAAATACAAATGTATAATTGGGTGATTCAAATGCTTTCACAGATTTCCTGTTAAAAAGCTTTTTAGAAATCTAATTATAATTTGGAATTATAATTTAAGCTATAAATTGTAATTTATCTTCATATCACTCTGAAGGATTTTTAAAAGACTATGTTTTGAACACAAACTCATTCTAGGTATCTAAATACTCTCCTAAAAATAAATTTTTGTATTTTTAGTTGTAAAATTAATAATTTGGACAATTTGTTTTTACTGAAGTACTGAGCATATTTAATCTAGTTTTTAAATGTACTTACCCCATTAATGTAAAGCATTTTTTACAAAGCTAAATGAATACAAACTACATTCATTTATCCTCTCACAAAAGGGACAAAACAAACACAAAACATAATAAAATGAGAAAGACAATATTACGTATATTATTGTTACTTATTTTACACATTATTACCCAAAGACCTTAAATACAAATGTGATCCCAGCGATCTCCTGATCAAAAACCTGTGGTAGCTTCCCTTTTTGTTTGTTTGTTTGTTTTTTGCCTCATAAAGTGAAAGTCTGGCTCTCTCAGCTATCCACAACCTACTCCCAATACATTTCTAGCTTACACCTTACTGTTTAATCTTATTCCTCTTCGTATACCTCACCCTGCAGTCCAAACCTAAATTTAGAAACTCTTCCATTATATATTTCCTGCTTTTATTTTATCTTTTTATTTTTGAGACAGGATCTCACTCTGTTGCCCAGGCTGGAGTGCAGTGGCGCCATCACAGCTCACTGCAGCCTTGACTTCCCAGACTCAAGCAATGCTCTCATCTCAGTCACCCCTGTAGCTGGGATCACAGGCACGTGCCACCACATCCCACTATTATTTTTGTAATTTTTGCAGATAGAGGGTCTTCTTATATTGCCCAGGTTGGTCTTGAATTCCTGGGGGCTCAAGTAATCCAACTGCCTCAGCCTCCCAAAGTGCTGGGATGACAGGCACGAGCCACCATGCTCAGCCTATTTCCTGCATTTTCATACCCTCTAACCTGTACTGTTTTACCATCTTAAATATCTTCCCCTCCATCTTCAAGCATGAAACTTTATCAAGGGAAAAATTAAATGTTACATACTTTGAGTTTTCAAGTCTTCCCCTATACCCCAGCCAAAAGTGGATACTTGTTCAAACTTCCTCTAGCAATAAATGAATAAATGATCATCTCTCAACTCAATTACTGCCATAATACCCTAATTGTTCTACCCACCTCCAGTTTTGCCCTATTTTACACTGTCTCCAAGGTCAGTCAGTGTGGTTTTTTTCTAAAGTGCAATTGTGATTATGTCATTTTCCTGCTTAAAAACCATCTATGGCTCCCCCATTGCCATTTACAGTTAAGTGCACATACGTGACTTAAAAGTGCTACGTTTTCCAGCCTTTACTCTTCCACTAACATCTCCTGAAATACACTTAGCTCACACACACTCTACCTCTAACCATATGAATGTCATTCAGTTATTTAAACAGCAAGTTCTTCTCTTCTCTTACACTTGAGGTCCCCCAACTTTCTTCACTCTTTTGATAATATTCTTTTCCCCCTTCTTTGCCAAGTCTCACTCATTCTTCCCAAGCTTAAACTGTGATCTCATCCATCCCCTAGTAGCATGGCACATTTCCCAATTTACACTACTCATCACTGCCTGTGTACATGTTTTTGTCTCTCACTGGATTATGAATTATACTGGCTGAGACCCTTAGACTTTCTTATTCACCATTGTGTACTCAGTGTCTGGCACAGTGCTTGATACGTAGTTTGTTTATGCACAGTTACTGACAATATGGCTGTCTTAATAGCTACAACTTTTAGTGTATTTGCTGCAAAAAAAAAAAATCTTTGTAGTTTTGTTCAAGAGAAGGCCTACCTATGAGACAAAAATCTATTGACTTGCCTCCCTCTCTAGTTAGCTAGGCAACTATCTATCTGATCTGAAACTTAGACCCTAGAAATAGAAAAGATTATTGACAAATGTTAACAAAATATAGTCTTTATGTCATTATAAATTATTTTAAAGTGGGCAAGCAAGACATGCATTTAAATAACTGAAACATTATTGGTAATGAGAAGAACGCTGGAATAAGAATCAAAGCACAAAAACATATTCCAGATCATTCCACCAATGGACTCTGAGAAGACAGACAAGTTGTTTCATCTCAATGAATCACAGTTTCCATTTCTGTAAAATAGAGGGTTTTAACTAGATTATCATTAAGGTGCATGTTATCTTTATAATTTTATCATTCCAATTCTACTATTCAACTTGATGGTAGCTAAGATTTTAAAAATCATAAATGTGCCTTTTTTTCCAACTCTTATCCTTTTCTGGTTCCAATAATATTCTGGCTTCCACTATTAAAAAAAAAGTAAGAAATATCCTTTCCAAAGCTGAACATGTCGTGTTAGATTTTACCAAGCTTATCCAAGCCAGAGAAGACATATCAAGCAGATATGATTAAATGATCAGTTCAAATAAGAAACAGTATTTTAATTGGCATTTGTACTACTGGTCTAGTAGAACCTGGAACCCAGGAGAGCTCTCTGTTACATCTCTTCATTTAGTAATATTTTAGATATATTTAGCAGACAAGACAAATTCAGCTTGTTAGACTGAATTCCAACAATATGCAATAACTCAATTAAAACCAATAGATCAGTGTGCTACACAGCATGGGACATAGAAAGTTCAAGAACAAAGCCTACCCTCAATTTTAGAAAACTGGCTTTAAACACTTAAAAGACCTGACCTTTTGCGTAAAAGATTATTGTAAAGCACTACTGTTATACAATCTACAGGCTATAAAACATTAAAAATCTTAACTGAATGAATAGAATAAATCATATGAGTTTAACAAAGCTTTGCACAGAACGTAGAAAAATTAAAATGGAGGGTAATGAAGGATTTTTTTAAAAGGCCACTGGGAAAAATGTATAGCAAAGCAAAAATAGAAAAAAAAAACTAGATAACACATGCTGAAACATTTTTGGAGCCGATAATGCTAATCTGAATAAATACACACACACACAAAGAGGCTACATCATTTTCCTTCTACATTCTCTAAGTAGTGCTGCCAAATACAGAAGGATTGAAGCCATTTCTGGGGAACTGCTGAATCAGGAGCATGAGTCAGAAAGTAAACCCTTAGTGAAGAAAAAGTACTAAAATAGTGCTGAAAGCTCATACACATACACATACGTTCAGTTCATAAGGTCCAAACCTTCTCTAGTCATCAAAGCACTATGCATTCATCCCTTCCCACACTTACCCTCTCATATTCATGTGTGTTTGGGAGAAAATTTTGTTTCCAAGGAACCAGATTTTACCTGTATCTAAATGGTAAGGTATAGCACAGAGTCGGTACTACATGTGAATAAGAGGGCTCTGAAATATGAACAGGACATTTTCCAACTTAAATGACAAGGAATCTGAAATGAAAATAAAGTAAAATAAAATTGAGGGCTTAAATTATATTAAAAATTAATTTAGAGTCATATGGAAAAATCGCTTGACAGTAATTTAAGGGAGACTAAGATGTTCTTTCTTCAAAAGGCTTTAAGATCTAATCATCCCTCTAAAATGGTCTAGACATAGCTCTTCTCTGAGGTGGGCAGCAGGAATGGATCAGAACTAGAGCTACTCTTAGGCTTATGAGTATATTTTTGACATAAAAGGCTAAACAAATACACCCCATATGTAATCACCACAGTTAATAATATGCTTCAAGGGTAAGTCACCCCTGGACAACAAAGAATTGATGGTCTTCCTTCCTTCCCTCCCTACCCTGTCCCAAGAGGATATTTTCTCAATATTCTGATGGCACTCTGCTTCCACCATTAATAAATATTAAGATGTTCCAGTTCATAAAATAACTTCATATTATTTTATCTCATTGAACATGTATTTTCAATACTGCAATAATAAGTGCAGTTATGATTTTCTACTGGAATTTGAGTGCTAAGGTCACTGCTATGAATCCAGCAGGTCAAATAATCTTAGTTCTTTTTCAGACAGAGCCTGGGGCATAGAAATAACAAAGTTAAAACTAATCAAATTGAGGCAATGTCAAACTAGGCCTAAAATGTTTATTTGTCAAGAGAGACTCACTCTGTCTGGACCTCAGCCCTTATCCACTCATTATCATTACCTCTTAAAAGCATATTTCTATTTAATCTCTGTTAACTTTGGAAAATTTTCCCCAGAAAAGGAAGCCCTCAAATAGTTTAAATGACTAACAGCCAGTGTTAGCCTCCGTGTAAAATTATGAAAATTGTCATTTTGAATTTTGCTGTAAGCATAATGATATTCTCTCCCATGAAACAGTAAATAATAGCACATGGTGTTCTGGTTTCATGAGTGTGTAGCAGTTTCAAGGATCAGAATTCTCTCCATCAGTGAGTGGCACTAACATCCTTGCATGGCATTTATATTACATCTTCACACAATGTTCCACAATAAATATCACATCTTGTTCTTGGTTATGGTAATGAATAGTCATGCATTTTAATTCATACTCTTGATTTTCACTGTTTTCTACCCACATTAATTTTCATTTGGCTACATTGATCGGCACAGTCTGAATTAACAAAGATTCACCTCCGAAGACTTCAGAAATTTAAAGGGCTATGTTCTCTTCCAGTTTTACCACATGCCAATGGCTTAGGTTAAGTCAAGCTATTGCAGTTGAGTAGTTAATTCAATAAATACTAGTGGCTTTCCTAGTTGCTAGATGGAGGAGTCCTATACTTTAGTGCTTTTACTAAGAATTAGTTGTGTGTTTTTTAAAAATGCACATTTCCTGGACCACAAACGTCAGACATTTTAACACTGTAAATCTAGGTGAGGGCACACAAGTCAGCATTTTAATAAGAATCCCATGAGATTATGATACAGGTAGTCCCAAGACCTCATCTTGAAAAAACTCTGGAAATGAATTAGTGTAAATTGTGCAGTTCCTTGTAACTGCACTATGACGCATCTTAACCAAATCTGCTTGTCCCCCAATTACAATTTTCCTGTGCTTACATTTAAAAATTAACTAGATTATCCATAAGGCTTGCTGACTTCCTTTATCCATATAAGTCTAGATTATGACAAAGGTAGTGTCAACCGTATTTCAACCCACTTCACATTAGTATGGTAATTCACCCATACCAGCCTCCCACACAATTAATGAAAAATGTCCACTCTAAGATGTTAAGGGCTGTGTTAATTAAATTTTCTATAAAACACTGCAATGAAAACCATACAGAAAATAACGTATGTGCAAATATTCTTTTTACGTATTTTTGTGATTTCAGTCTTGACAAAAGTAAAGTAAGGAAATGGTGGAATACACCAATCCTAAGTGCAAAAAGACATTTCACTATCAATAGAGTAAACTTCTCAATTAAATTGAGGCAGGCAGTTAGGAAGGCTGATTTAACATTCTCAGACTGCTGAGTAAGGTGACCATCCCAGTTTGCACAGGACTTTCTTGGTTTTAGCACTGAATTTCACATGTTCTGGAAAACCTTTCAGCCTCAGGCAAACTAAGACAGTTGTCACCCTACTTCATGCTTCAATATTTAAGTATTATTTTCATAAGTCTGCAGAAAATTTCTACAATTACCTATCAAAAGAAAATAGTAAAGTAGGATTTTATTTAGGAACTCCTCATAAAAAGTTGCTTTAGATTAAAAAGGAATGTGTGGCCTCAAAAAGTTTGAGTTTTGACCTATGAATTACTGATAAGATATATCTTAAAGAGAAATAAATTCACAATTAAGCAATAAATAACAAATATATAACAATAGAAATTTCCAGGAAGAACCTACTTTGAGATGTCCAATCTATACAAATCCATGTGCCATTAGTTTTTCCTGATAAGGTAGTAAGTCTTCTAAAACACCAACAATTAATTTAAAAGGAATCAGCAATCTGGGCGGAAACAAGGAAACTAGAGAGGTAAACATGATACCCCTGACTTAGATATGGCTATAACAAGAGTGAGGAGCTCACAGGCTAATGACCCAGAAACTGCAATTACGAAGGATAAATAACATTTCCAATGGTCAGTAGAGTACTACCTCACTTACCATAACACTACGTAGTTTGCTGATCCTGTCTTTTGACAGATCACTAAAAAGTTATGATTAATTATAATTAATAAAGCTAAACATTGTCAAATCATTAAGAGAGGAAAATTACAGGTACACCTCAATTTTTCACAAGTGGAGCTTCTACTTTATGATATATTCATTAGAAAATTCCTAGCTGTTTTTCACTAATCAGGAAAAGAGTCAAGGGCTTGATAGTGCTGTTTTATTTATCATTCTTAATTTATCATTTTTATGTATTTGGGTGTCTTGGATTTTTAAGTAGCCTACAGAACTTCGGGAGGAAGAATCCTGGGCCATTTTTCCCTAATCACAAGTAACATCTTGGAAACCAAGGGCTTTTTAAATTATTTTAAACAGTCACAGGTTGCTGAGCCAGACAACTTCATGAAGGACCCAATTACCTCTGGTCAAGCCTATTGTAACAGCTTAATAACTGGGCTGTCTCCAGTCTCAGCCGCACATCCTCCACCTGGAGCCAGAGGCATCTTTCTATCACACCAATATGATCATGGTGTTCTCTTACTTAAAATCCTTCAAGAGCTTTATGGCCTGCAGAATTAGGTCCAAACTGTTATCCAGGGCTAATTCTAGGCTCATCTCCAGTCAGTTCCCCTAGACTTGTTCTACACTCTCATCATACCAAATTATTTATGACACCCCTAATAAAATGAATCCTAAGTGCCTGCACTTGTCTCTGGCCAGAAGGCTTAGCTCCCTCTACTCTCCTGCTGAGCTTCTGCTTCACTTTCAGGTTTCAGTTCACACCATGTTCTCAGGAGAGACTTCTCGGACCTCCTTTGGAAGAAATCCATTAGGGACCACTCCTCTAGGTCCCTGCTGTAGCCTAACTTAACATTCATTTGAGTACACAGTGCTAATACTTGATTTAGTTCAGTTCGTTTTTCCCTCTGGACTATGGACTTTCTCCTTAATCAATCTTATACTATCTTGAACCTAAAATAACATGGGTAATCAACAAACACTTACTGATTAATTTCCTGTAAGAAAAAATTCACAAGAGTAAGCTTATAAGAGGAAGGCAACTCTATTAAAATCAGTTACAAATAAAAACAAACAGATCAAATGTTTTTACTAGGTTCTACCACTTTCCAGGATCTATGGCATATAAAATAAGTAGCCATAAACAAAGTCCGTAACCAATATCGGAAGTTTATAGTTTATTCAGAGATGTAGTAAAACACTTGAGTTAAATATAATACAATTATACACATACACATTAAGAAAACATTTTCATAAAAGTATTCAGACTGCTAGAAACATTTTTTAATAATGTGTTAATTATAAGAGCAATGTATGCATAAAAAGAGTTGCAAGCAAATGACCAATATTAACTGACAATTTGCAAAATAAAATTCGTAGCCAATAGAGAGATACAATAATTTCAATCTCACTACTATTAATAATCAAAGAAAAAAAATAATGGGCTAGGCGTGGTGGCTCATGCCTGTAATCCCAGCACTTTGGGAGGCCGAGGCAGGCGAATCATGAGGTCAGGAGATCAAGACCATCCTGGCGAACACGGTGAAACCCCATCTCTACTAAAAATACAAAAAAAAAAAAAAAAAAAAAATTAGCCGGCCGTGGTGGCAGGCACCTGTAGTCCCAGCTGCTCGGCAGGCTGAGGCAGGAGAACGGCATGAACCCACGGCATGAACCCAGGAGGCGGAGCTTGCAGTGAGCCGAGATCGCACCACTGCACTCCAGCCTGGGCAACAGAATGAGACTCCATCTCAAAATAATAATAATAATAAATAATGAAAAAATAAAATAATTATGTCCATTATTAGCAAGGGTATGAGGAAACGGGCACTTGGTAGCAACCCTGCAATATGTATTACAAACCAGCAGATATATATGTGCCTTTACCCAGAAATTCTATCTGCAGAGAATTTATCTAAAATGGTAAAGTTGGTGATAAGTAAATTGAAACTAGGGCCTATAATAGTATTTAACCTTATTAAAAAGTAAATGTCTCAAGATCCAAAACTAGGAGATAAGTAATAAAAAATTGAGATAGATATATAAACTAGCATATAGTAAAGTCATTAAAACTTTACTGGTGTAAATCAGTAATGGTGTAGATCAGTAACTTGACACGAAAGGGATTAACAATAGATTATACAATAAAGCCAGTTATAACATGGCACATGTAGCACAAGAATAATATATCTGAATATAAGCACCTTACTCACAAATGTGTTAACAGTGCGATAGATAAAATTAAGAGTAAAGTTTTATATTTTGCATATTTGTACTTTTTTCTATAATAAGCATGCATTTAATAGCACTTGCATAGTAAAAGTTTTGTTTTAATGAGGTATTGAAGAAAAACTATGGATTAAAGTGCCCAGGGAAGATTCAACAAATATGCCACTCTTGTGCTATATGAGAAAAGGCAGAAATCCTATCCTAGGCAGTGAAAAATGACATGATCACAAATATGGGAGGCAAGAGTGAGCATGAGTGTATGAGCAGTACCATAAGAAGGGCAGCCTAATTTTCTCAATAAGAAATGTGTGTATTTTGATGGAGCAGTCATTAGGGGCTTTGAGTACGAGTATATCATGAAAGTAGTGTTGTACACAAATTTACCAGGCAGTATTTTGCTATCTGTATGCAAACAGAGATCCTCCAGGTACTAAATCCATTTCTGAAACAACTACTGTGATTTAGAAGTACCGTGATGTGGGCTTAAAAAGGAATAGTTGAATTGAGAGTTATTACTAACAGGGAGTAGCAGCCAGGTACCCTGCCCCCTTGGAGCATTTGTAATTGCTAATATTTCTACCTGGAAAGTTCTACTCTGAGTTATTAATATTTGCTTTGCTCAAAATACTGAGTTTCAGCTCAACTATCACCTGTTTACTCAGCCTTCCCTGACCTCCCTACACTCCCAATCCCTCTTGCCTGGCTGCATTTTTTTCCCAAAGCACTTATCATTTTCTAACATTATATATGATGCACTTCATTATGTTTATTGTCTGTATCCCACATTACATAAGTATCCATACAAGGCAGGGATTTTGTTTTGCAAACTGTGTCCCTTAAAGTCTAGAATTGTTTAGCCTACAATACCTGCTCAATAAGCATTTGCTGGATGAACAAATTAATTAAATATAAAAAGAAAAAACAGGGGGCAGGGATAAAATAGCTACCATTAATAGATGTAGATTTTCTGAATGAGGATATAATTTGAGGGTAAGTTGATGACTTGGTATTTGGACAAGGTGACTTTGAATTAAAATACTGACATTCAAGTGGAAAAAATTGGCCTAGAAATTAAATAACAAATAGAAGACCATAGCTGGGGGTAAGTTTCATATCTGGAGATAAAATAAATGGTGGACTTGTGAGCACTTTGTGAGTTCACTAAAAGAAAGGAAATATCTAGACTAGAAAGGAAAAACTAAAAAATATTTACAGGAGCGAGGAGGAGTAGGAAGAAGCAGGGATGTAGGATATATGGAACAATTGAAAAATATAAAGAGAAAGAAAAAAGAGAGAGAGAAAGCGGGGAAAATGTAATGTGTCTGAATTTCAGAAATAACCTTAAATGTATAAAGGGACAAATAAATAATAAGGTTTTATTTTTTTCCAGTAGGAAAGAACTGAAAATATTTCAGAGCAAATAGAAAGGAGTCAATGGGAATTTAGGTGTCAGGGATGCTAAGAATTGGAGCTTGAGTCATAGGTGGTGGAAAGCAATGCATAAGAAACATTTGTAGCTATAAAAGACACAGTTTCGGAAAAGAATAGATACTTTTCTCCACAGACACCAGGAAAGAGAAAGAGAAGCTAACTATGAGAAAAGAATAGAGATAAAGGAATGTATAAAAATTGAAGTGTCTCATTCTTTTTAATAGACTAGGTGGAGAGATGACATGCCAAGGCAGGGATGGGACAGCTGGGACTGGGAGTGTAGAAAGAGAGAAAAGGTCTAAAATAGATCCCATGGGGAGCAGGCCTGAGAGTACAGAAAAGACAATTAAAAAGACTGCCAAATAGCAGCAGAAACCAGATTGAAGTTTGAAAGCATGGAGTTCTAATGAGCCAAATCTGCAATGCTTTGTTTGCCTCTAGCAGTGCTCTCTCTCCTGGGAGAAGTTGCAAAGAGAGCAAGAGTGAGAGGTAACCTCTGTTTTGAAATTTGCTAGATGAGCAAAGATGTAAAGCTTATTAATGAAGAGGCAAGGCTTGAGAGTGAAAATCCAACTCATTTGAAGCAAGGAGGGCAACAAACCTGTGTCTGATCAATGAGGAGTACTTCCAAAAAAGTGGGGAAAATAACATTTGAGTCCTGGGCTGAAAGCTGAAACTCTCAAGAAAATTAGGAAGCTAATTTCTCACTTCCCTCCCCCCACCACTCCTGCTGAGGCCACAGCAATAGGAATGAGCAAAAACTAAATGAAATGAGAAGATTCTTACCACCGGCACACTGCTGTGAATGGAGAAATTGGGTAGGGGTGCTAGGGTAGGAGGGTAAAAGAGGGAAGATAATTGATACAAAAGTGGTAGCTGTCTAAAATTTTGTGCATTTTTGAGGCATCAGAGTGTCTCAGAATGCATTTCCAAGACATTCAGAATGACTAATTTTTAAATTAACTACATGCAACCCACTATGGGTAAAAAGTGGATTTTTTGTTGTTATATACATTTTGAGATTACTAAATTATTACTCTTTCGTATAAATACAGGCTCTGCTTTTTAATGAAATCCTAACACTTCCTATTGCTGCAATAAAACCATCTAGAATGCAGATAGGCCCTTCCTCCTCTCTGACTTCTCACCCCACTCTCCACATGGCTCACTCTGCTACAACCACCTCCACCTTTTTTTTAGTTCCCAGAATAAATCAAGCTCATTCCCAGCTCAGGGCCCTTGCACCAGCTGTTCCACAGCATCTGCCACGCTCTTCCCCCAGACTGGACCAAAAGGGCCTTCTGGATAGTCAGGTCTCAGCTTGAGTGTCCCCTCTTCAGACCTTCCCTATTAGCCTAAAACAGCCTACAGGAACCCTTTATCCCTATCCCGTCACCTTGGTTTTGTTGTTTATTTATTTATTTTTAGACACAGGGTCTCACTGCGTCGCCCAGGCTCAAGCAATCCTTCCACTTCGGCCTCCTGAGTATTGGTTCCCCACGCTCACCCCCCGCAACACAATGTTATCTGATATCTCCCTTATTTATCTGGCTGTTATAGTCTGCCACCTCCTTAGAATATAACCCCCCTGAGGAAAGAAATTCTTTCTGTCCGGGTCACCACTATATCTCTAGCATCTCACATACTTTCAAGGACACAACACACATTCGATACATACTTATCTAATACATGAGTGACTGAAAGATGAAAAGCTGTTTTTTAATGTTAAATATGATAGAAAGTTACATCAGCTAACTTTATTCACAAAGTAGTGAAAAGTTTATTCACAAGATAGTAAGAAGTAAAAACAGTATTCTTGTTCCCTGAAACAATCCCATAAGATCATATTTGTCTTGTTCTAGGCAATACGTATTATGAGAAAGTAAAGTTCATTGTGAATGAAAGGATAAAGGAAGAAACATCCTCAAAGATGAAACCAAATAAATCTCAGTAAAATTTTAAATGATCAAATGGACATAAGAATGTCTTTGTTATTTTTACCAGGCTCAGGGAGGTCTGGAAATATACAGAGATTTTATAGAGTTTGAACAGTGTGGGATTTAATTAGTTAGGGCATACACACAAACAAAATGTCAGATAAATTTTCCACAAAATAAATTCTATAAATTATGAGTAATGTTTTTCTTATTTGTCTTGCTATATTAGATCTAGAAAACAGGTTTAATTAAGAGGTTAAGAGGAAGTGGACTTTAATCTCTTCTCCATAAAAGGCAATCTCTAAATAAGAAATTCAATCTCCAGCCAAGTTTTCACATTTTCTGTGGAAAGTATTGTCTTCCAGCTTATTATTTCTTTTTAGGCAGGAGGGGGAAAATGGTAAAATAACATCTATAATTCTAATAAACAATTTACGTTATAAAACTCTTTACAATCTCATGTAGGATATTATGTACTAACCATGATCCTCTGAAAAATAGGTAAAATTTACAAACAACCTGCTTCAATATTCCCTTAAGATGCCATGTAGGGGCCAAAAATCAAAATAATGAATAAGGATACTGCAGACATTTCCAAATTGAGAGATATTCTACAAAATACCCGGCCTAATTTTTCAAGTATATTAAGGTTAAGAAACACAAAATAATGTTGAAGAACTATAACATCTTCAGACCGTGATTTTATAGAAAAACGCATTCACTCCTAACAAATATATTCAGTATTTAGGGAAAAACAGAAATGAATGAACGGGTAGCTAGATAGATAAGTAGATAGATAGATCTAATAAAACATTTTTAAGGCTGTCAAGTGAAGCAAAAATGCATTAATGTCAGTGATGAGAATAATAATAAGCAATTGGTAAACTATAAGCAGATGTATGAAAGAAAGAACCATATGCCATAAGAAATAAACCAATAAAAATGGCAACATCTGTTTTTAAGCCCTAATACATTACTACTTTAATAAATGAGATGAGTAAAAATGGAAATGTAAAGATTTCTTGGACTACGAGCCTTTATATATTGGTTATACTTTTTATCAATATATGGTATTTTAAAAAATACTATGATATTTCAATTATAAGTTGAAAAAATGAATGGGAGCTTTAAATCATAAAATAGTATGCAGAAATAAAATTTCATATATAGATTAATACATTAAATCTTTTTTCACTGCCCTTAAAATCGTAATAATAATAGTGCTTCAGTAACTAATAATAGTGCTTCAGTTTAAAATACTACAAGCAGCTTTGAGGTGGTTATTATATCATCCTCACTTTGAAGAGAAGGAAAAGAAGCTTTAAGAGAGTAGATATCTTGCGTAAATTTCAGATAGGTGTTATGTGACAGACATGCTAAAATTACAATGACTAGCCTCCCTCTATTACTTGGACAATACTGACTGTTACATAATTGAGGATCTTCCACCTTGGTATAAAGCTTGAATTTATCTGTAGTATTGCCAGTGCTAATTTCTATATTGCTATAGTTTATACATAATCATTAGTATTATATAATTCAGATGATAGTGGTAGAAAACAATTAAAAGCTAAAATATTTATTGTCTTCTCAGTACTTGTAGAAAGCATAGAACTCAAAATACACACATACACATACACACACACACATATACGTATACATACAATTATATGGAAACTACATTATTAATCTCAAACATCCAGTAGCTTCCAAACTAAGCAATGTGTAGGCCCCAAATAATATGCTCATAACTATTGTTTATTTCCTTTGTCAACTTAACTGTCCTCAGAAAATAGCAAATAGTATTTGGGGCATACCAAGTTATATTGGATGTTAAGGAGAAACATATAGCACATAGCTATACAGGAGCAGAAAAAGAAAAAAATATCTTTTTGAAATGAAATTTTGGTCAAGGTTCAGCTGGGGAAATCCGCTGACCCACTTCGATATTAAAATGCTGCTTTAGCACACA
Organism: Homo sapiens; assembly: GCF_000001405.40. Taxonomy (NCBI): domain Eukaryota; kingdom Metazoa; phylum Chordata; class Mammalia; order Primates; family Hominidae; genus Homo; species Homo sapiens. The sequence goes on along the minus strand of NC_000002.12, from coordinate 154,710,298 downwards.
CAGCACACACAGACACACACACAGGGAATTTTCCACTGAGGTTGCACATAGTGGATATCAAAGCTCTATCAATGACACCCCAAATCACCATCCCCAAGGCCAGAATATGCATGCTGATTTCAGGCTGCTCAATAATTACCCTACTTTTTTGAGCCTTAAATCTTTAAAGAAAAATCATGATTATAAGAAAGTCAAGTTTGTAATTATAATAGAACATCATAATCATTTATAAGAAGTCATCCCACTTTTTTTTTACAGTGAGTGTTCCAGAGTTAATATTATCTATGTAACCATCAAAACAGTACATTTTAATTTTCAAAATGGTATCAATTTAATGTTACAAAGAAATGAAAGGCAAATCATTACTTTCATTATTGTAAACTCTGAGTCATTTCGCCCAATTCATGACAGGTATTGTGCATATCATATAATGTCATTATGGTATAAAGAAACTTTATGGCATATCTGTTTTTACTCACCAGTTGTTTCCACAATGCCTTCTAGGATGACGACAATCTCGAACTGTTCAGTTTGCATGCTTCGCTGGGATAGGTCATAAAAGGGGCTTTTGGCATCGATCACGTGGCAAATTGTGAGGGGGGACACAAGAAAAAGTTGATCTGCCCCTGTACTAAAACCTACATCCAGTTCAAGTTGGTCAAGGGGAAGGAACTCACCCTCAGGTGTCTGCCGAGACTAGACAAGCACACAGAAAAAGAGAAGAAATCACCACTTGTACTGAAAATTTCAAGGCAGCCCAACAGTAATTTACATCATTGCCAACATTCTGCACTATCAATCATCTGCAACAAAATCCAAACAAATCATTATGCAACTATGTTCTAGCAAATGGGCCGAAATCCCACATAGCTCATGCGGAACATACATGCATTATTTATAATACACAACTTGCTATAATTACCATTCCCTAACTCATGAGCTTTGGAGAAATGCCTGGTCCAACAATGGTTGTTAGCACAAACTGTGGAACTGAGTGTGCATGTGCTGCTGCTTGACAGCAATCACTGCAGGATAACTCATTGCATGCCAGATATTTTTTTTCTCAACACAGCAAATAAATAAGTAGGCAATTCTTATGGAGTGTGTTAAAGCTGACAAAGATTGACCATCATTTTGAAAGAGATTTACTGATTACTAAAAAGCAAAACACAACAATTTATTTTTCAGACTTTCGAAAAGTAACAAACACATATAAAATGGAATAGAAGAGTGAAGATGTTCCCATATTAAGCTATGTTATGTACACAAGAGCTTACATAATAAAAATAAATGGCAGATGTTGTTAGCTAATGGTTTTCAAACTCCTAATAATAAACTGCATTATAAATATTTGCTTCTCTGTCATTTCATGAGTTTTAAAACAGTGAAAAACTGAACTAAACTGAACTTTCTTTAATCAAAATGCAATTTCAAAAAGCTATACCTGAGAAACATAGTTTAATAAAAGGTTTCTAAGGTAGTGGCATTCAGTTTCGGTATAAATCACTCTAAAGCTTAATTAAGTAAATTGCTTGCATGCTAGGGTTCTATGAGAAAATTTAATATGACTATTAAAAATTAGCAAACCATGAGAGTAAAATTACTTATTTCCTTTTATCTTTATTTTCCATATCGGTCACATATAATAATCATGCACAAGCAAACATATACATTTAATTTATGTAATTATGGGGTAAAATAAGGGCTAGGTAGTTAGGAATTAAATACAGAAAAAAATGGGGGGAAGGTGGAGCATACTGCTGGTCAAATAGGACTGATGAATCCATTGTATTCTAACAGATTCCATGTAAAACAAATGTAATAACAAAACAATCTGTAAGACTGGTCTGCCCAATGAAGTGATAGTTTGAAGACAAAATTCTTACTCTCAGAGTTCCAAAAAAAATACATTGGCTTTTTATGTGGAGTAAGTGAGTCTGAAAACACTGAGAAATGTGGCTTAGCAACATGTCCTTTGTGGCAAAACAGAATGAAGGGTTCCAAATCGGTGGTGCTTCATTATGGCAGCAATTGTTGCAAAGAGTTTCAACAGGAGAATTAGTCAACTAGAGAGGCTACTTTGCAGTTAGAAATATTCACGGATATTATTTGTGTAGACAAAATCCTAATGAAAGGGAGACTATTTTTCTTCTCTAACTTGTGTGTGGCTGAAAAAAGAAGGCTATGAAAAAAATGATTACTGACAAACAAATAAAAGAGCCCACTGAAAAATCTGATGGTGCAAAAATTAAAACAGCAGCTCTAGCAACCAATGTTGGAGAAAACTAGGCGTTTCCAAGACAGCATGAAAAAGCTCCCAAAAGAACTTTCTTGAGTGACCTGTATTTCTAAATCTATTCTCAAATTAGTAAAACATAAATGAGACCAACATCTTTCCAACTACATGGTTGTATAACAAGTATTGATTAATACAACAAAATAAATGCCGGACACAAAACAAAATTAAAGCAACAAAAACAAAAACCTTGTGTCATTGTTCTCTCACCTACTAAGAAACAGGTGCTATATAAACACAAGGTGGTATTCTGATGTGTATAATTAATTTGGGTCTTTTTGCTGACCATTCTAAGTTCTGCTTTTCCTGAACTACATGGCATTGTTGACAATAATAATTCTTTTAGAAACTAAATCTCCCATTTATTCTAAAATAATTTTCCCCAAAGAAGATATATTTTCCCAAGTATTATATATGTACACAAATATTAAAATTTGTCTTCCTTTTTCATACATTTGTTATTTATACCTGTGCCTCATTCTAAAAGGCTTTAGAGTAAGCTATTAAATTTTGTATTCCCTAATCATTTAATAACCCATGGATATAAGTGGCCTAGAAACAGGCAGGCTATCAGGAGGATGACAACTTGGAATAAGAAATACTTTATTTTTACCAAAGTAGTTTATTCAGACATAAGTAATTTTGGCTTAAATATGCATATATCTGTTCCATTGAGACTTAATATACCTTCTGATTTTAAATATTTGCTCTATACACTCAAAATTACACCTGTACTCAAAATTACCCTACCCCACCCTCCCACCTCAAATACTTGATATCCTATCCAGGTCTTCCTATTATACGACACTTTGGGAAACATGCTTTCAATGCTCATATATTTTTCAGATAAGTGAAATTCTTTACATATGTATTGAATTCTTTACGTATGTATCCAGTGGATACTATATAATTTAACCTTTCTTTAAATGACAAAGATGCTACACATATTCACAATTTTATTGTCCAGGTCCTTCTTCCTTTATATTAGGCCACCAAATATTTCAACTATTAATATGTTCACCTCCCTGATTTTTTTTCCTTCTTTGACTTTGTAGTAGAGTGAGGAGCCTCTTAATCACTGAAATTCCATAGACTTTGGCTCAGGTCAAAAGTGAAGGGTGTGGTTTTAATGTGGCAGGTGCCTGGAATACTACAATTGTTTGAAGTCTGAGCTTCTGACTACAGCGAACTTATCTTAGCAGTGTTCAGTCACATGCTTTTGATGCTCTCAAAACCTATACATGCTTACCAAATACATTTTCAGAAGCACATACATTCTACTTTAGGCTTCTAAATAATTCTAATCTAGGCTGTCCTAATTCTGGTGCAATTCTGGGGATTTGCAGGAGGAAAAAAAAAGCCTATGAGTTAGTTTTAAATCTCAACTTGTGTAAAAGGAGTGAGAGAAAGTTTGAATGTTTGTTCAAGGAACTGTGATAAATACATGTATATGAAAGTGAAAGAAAAATAAAGATGAGTTATGCATGTGTCTTTACAAAATCAATTTTCTTCTGTAATTTGAGTATATAATAAATTGGCACCACTGATATTTCATCAGTTTCATATTATTTAGCAATTAACTACCCTATTTCACTCAGAAATATTTGATAATAAGCAGAATATTTTGAGATAAAAACCAGTTTGACCTTTCTTCATTGTGTCATGTTAAGCATTATGATATAAGAAACTTTCCACTGATAGAGCAATTTGTTGATGATGCAGTTATCTCCTTTAGCTCAATAAACTTTCTAATTCCCGAGAAAACATAGAACCAGGATCGTTTTCTAGATACAAATGTATAAATTGATATGGTCTAGATCAACAATAATTGAAATTATTTTCAAATTCAAAGCGATCGCTAAAAGTTAAGATTTATGCAGTAAATTATTTAAATTTATAAGAAGTTGATTACTAAGTTTGACTTTTAGTTTATAAGAAAATTATTTAGAATCACAAGAATTGTGGAACAAATAAAGTAAAAAAGAAGTTTAAAGAAAGTGAATAAAAATGATTAATTCTTAAAAATTTAGAAGATAATTTGAAAAAATCCTTGGGTTGAGAATGACTTCCATACAACTTCTACTTTCAATTTTATAGAATCTTGGGAAGGAAATAAAGGTCTTTCCACCATTTTAGTATATCTTGTTGATTGCATTACAAAAAATTCTGGGAGTTATAAAAATTGAAGAAATCTAGAGCTTAAAATTTGTTTAAATAAATTAATTGTTTAAATTAACTGTCCAAAAAATTATAACGTGAACATTAGGTATTTTTTGATAATTCTGTACAATTTTGGTTGTGGCAATAATTTTGAAGTTACTTATAATACAGATGTCATTTAATAATATTTCAATTATTCACATTTTCCTTATATGTAAATGCTCTATGTGTAGAATTTAAGGGTTGTGTCACATTTTATAGTCATTTATACTAATTTCAAAGAAGCAATTCAAGTCAAAGGCCTTTGAACTTCCTTAGAGCCCCAAAAGAGGCCTATAAGATAATCAACTACAATTCTGACTATAGGTGGAAAAAGAATCAAAAGTCACAGGTGCCTAGAAGGGATCATCATTGTCATGTATTTTGCCGACAGTCTTCATATTACAGAGGGCGACTGTTAAGTGCTTATTCAAAGACAGACAGACACACACATACATATACATACATGATCCTAGGATATACATTTAGCACTGCCCTGGCACAAGCGGATCCACATTTGGCCCCCCTCCTTCTCGTGGATATATGGCCAAGTGCCCACATTCATTTGTCAAGGACATATTTATCCAGTACAATCCATATCTTAGCTACCTCTCTCTCTCCCGTCTCTCTAATATGTAACTACGTTCTTTCCTAGCTTGGAGTGAGGCTTAAGGAATTCTGAATAGCACATTAAATCACTACTGTCCTACACTATAGATTTACCTCTATCATATTCTAAAGTTTGATCCATGCCTAACCACCTTTCACAAGTCCTTGCTGGAAAAGGGCCCACAGGGCCAGTGGTCTGGGAAGGAAAGGAAAGGAGGCTAAGACGGAGAGAGCAAGCCATTCTTGCTTACCACCTCCCCACCATTTTATCTGTAATTTCACTTATCCTCTTTACACGTGTAATATGCATTTATGTGTGTGTGTGCATGCTGAATATATGCTGCAGTCATAAAAAAAATTACATGGAATGAGGTCAGGGTAATATCTGGAAACTAACATTGGGAAATGAGCCAAACGCAGGTACCAGAATCAGGAACAAAAGTACCTTGTGACCCAAAGCAGTTAGGGCAATGGCTTTGGTGCCCAGACCAAAATTTAAGTAGTCAGGTGGAGGGGAATGTAGACCTAGAATTTTATTGGCATTGTCTACAATTACATTGTACATTTATTTGGACTCCTTAAGCTTGAAACTCCATGAATACTCAGATGGAAAAACTATGACCCAATGTCAAGTCCAAAATAAGGATTTTTAATGCTGAGCCAATTAACCCACAAAAATATGTTCAATTTTATGAAAAGAACATTTCTTACAGAACGCAATGTAATTTATTTTATAATAGATTATGTGAGGCTTTCATACCATTCAAATGAAAGAGCGGCTTTATAACTCCTTGAGGGCCTTTGTGGCATTTATAATAATTGAGGACAGGCTTCGTAACCCTACTTGCACATTTCCTCCTACTCGCCAAATACCCTCCAATCTATTAAATGCTTTTTCCTGCTTCGCTTTATCATTTGTTCTTACCTACTGCTGTTTATTTATGGCTCTTTATGCCCCTAATTTCTGTTCACTTTTTATTCCCTGAGCACAATCCACCCTTTACTTTTCAGGAATAATATTAAAAATAAAAAACAAAACTAAACAAAATATATTACCACTATTTTAAAAAGAATAATAATTATATATTTTTAGAAGCCAAGTTCTATACTTATTAGAGAATTAGTATACTTGTGTCAGAGAAAGAAAAACTAGACTAAATAGGAACTGTGCTAATTTTAAGGATAAAATGAATCTACCTGAAGAACTCACCAACCAATACAGGACCTAGCTCCTGAGCATTCTGAGGTACTCAGCTTTAGACCTCTTGAATATTTTTACTAATGGCTTAGATGATGTTCAGAACAGGGCTTTTACAAATATAGACATTCATTTGTGGATTTTATTTTTGGAAAGGGAGGTAAATAATTGTCTCGTGATTAAAAATAAAGTTCAAATTGGCCACGGTCAATTGGTGAAGAGTCAGTTATAAAATTAAGATCATACTGAGTCAAAAACATAATCACATTTCAGTGCAAGATATAAAATGAAAGCAAACCTATAAATATATGAGAAAACTGCAGGAATCCTGTGATTCAGGAATCGTTGTGGTTAGATTAGCAAAATGTTAGGACATATATGGTCTTTCAGACCACCATTTTTTTATTGCATCTGCACTTGATAATAGTCATATGGAGAAACAAGACAACATCCAATTTGGAATATAGATATATATATGGAGGATATGTATACACACACACACACACACACACACACATATATATGGAGGATAAAAGAAGGTGAGCACAAAAATAACATATGTGATGTTAGAAGAGGAAAGGAATGTACTCTATTACCTTTTGACAAGTGAAAGTTAAGGATTGCACAGCTGACCTCTTAGGAAAGAAAGAGGATGCCTATTGGCAATAAATAGAACTATAAAGAAGTAACATTATGCTTCCAGAAAATTAATCCTTACCTTTTTGTTTCAAAATATGAATGCAACCATAGTTTATTTTATGTTTACTTTATGTAAAAAATGTGTGCTGACTGGATGAGTATAACCATATATATGATGGCATTGAGATAATAAATTTGTAATTTCTCGAACAGTTATCAAAGAATAGTAATTAATTCTTGCCCTAACAAGTTGTATGCCTAGGTCTATCAACCATTATTATTAGGTTGGTAGAAAGGGGTAAGTAAGACTTCCAAATCCTTTAAACCCAGCACTAAACTATAGGGTTCAACATTACAACTACTGGTCTCAAATCCCTAATCCAGGCATTTTTATAAAAACTTTCGATTGGATGACATATTAACTTAGCATAGCCATGATACTAGTTAGTCCTTATTTTCTGGGTAAAACAAAAAGAGAAAAGAAGATAACTAAAATAAATGGAAAATTCAAGTAAAAATTCAATATGGGGAGAAGAGGAAGAAAGAATATTCATCTTAAAAGAGCTGTCTATAGCTATATTTATAATTCAATCACAGATTTTAATGAGGAACTTCAAACTATAGCCTTTGATTTTTATGTAATCTACTTTCTCTTTTTATGAGTAGAAAAAGGACTGACCCCTCCAGGCATAAAGTTGAAAGATCTATATTTGACTACTGAAAGATATTTTAGTGTTTGTAAGGCTGGAAGACAGGAATAGAGATGAGATAAAATGTGCTTTCAAATAAGTGAAAAGCATAATAAAAATTAGGCAAATAAGTTTTACAAAAAACTTCCATCAAAAGTTAGGCATTTAAAAACTATTATACATGAGAAATTTCATAACAGAAAGCATTAGAAAGCCATGCCCATGTTCTTATTGTCTCCCCAAGAATCAAAAAGTGCTTTATAATTATTAAATAGAAGTTTTACATTTATCTAAAGAAGCTTTTATTTAGCAAATAAGAAAACAGTAATAGAAAAATTAGTAAATTAAATTAGGTAGTAGGAAAAGAATACATGCACTATAGTTACTAGCATTAAATATTATACTGGATTTTGTTGCCTTAAAAATTCTACACATTCTGCATTAAAGACACATAAATTTTGCATTTAAATTGTTAAATGGAGGTTAAAAGGGGGAAATTGTGTGTAATATTTAATCAGAATAATGTATAAAACTGATAGGGACATATTATTATGCCAAGATTTTGGTATAGCTTCTATTTAAAAATACAGTTGACTGTTTTAGGTCACTTAATCTCAGTTCTTAAGAGAAAATGAGAGCAACTTATTAAAGGCAAATCTCCCCTCTAATTTTGCTGAATGTTATTATTTCCCCAATAAAACATGACTCCTTTTTAATGAAGTCTAAGGAATAACAGGAACTACAGCAATTCATTTAAATTACCATGCCTACAGGAAAGATTAACTTTGAACAAGCTACGCTAACTGACTAGTTGAAGAGCTACTCACAGATCAACTCTCTCCCTTCGCCATGGGGAGAATTTCACCATAATTTTGTTTAAATATAAATTGATGCCACAGGTAAATCGTGTTTACTTCTAGCACTGACATCTTCCTAACAAATCAAAAGTAAAAGACTTTATAAGAATATTATATGTATTGTTTTAACTAGATGTTTTTATCACCTTGTGTTAATATAGCACCTTGCTCCAAATTTGTCGACACTATACATCTTTCATCTTTTTAACTAGGATACTCTTTATGGTATATGTGGTACATTTCCTTAGGCAGAAAAATTATTATCAGTACCCTGCACCAGTGTAGAGACTGAGTGCTTCAGAATCATTGTACCTTTGTATGAAGAAAATAAACAAAAACTAACATATAGGTTAATTCTAATTATGACTGGCTTTGTTGAAATAAAATGTAATAAAATCTATAAACATCAAAAATATGTTGTCTGGAAAAGACATCTGTAATAAATAACCTTAAATGTTTAAAAAACTAAAGAATGTCTATAAATAACCTTTAATGTCTAATTGTCAATTTCCATTACATCAGTTAATATTGTAAACTACTCTTCAGTAAGTCTCAAAGTGATACATAAACATGGATTGCTTGAACAGAAACCTTGCCACTATACTAACAAAGTATTTCTATCTGTCTAGTAGGCCTAACCTAAAGAAGCAGGTGCTATATTGTGGTCTATGCAAAGCTAAAGACACATACAGTTACTATTGTAATAAACATATCTACAACACAACTGCCCAGCTTGATCTGACAAACTGCTTGGTTCAAACAGCGGTCAATAACAATACACTAAGTTAAATTTTAAAAAATTGTATGCAGTTCATTGAAATTAATTATATATGAATATGATCTACCCAAATTATTTATTCATAGTTAATGAACGTTTACATCAGAACCAGGTTGATAATTTTCCACTGTGGTGTACAAAATGTAGTTTATTTACTGTATGTAGCACAGTAAATATGCATATGATATGATGTGACAGGACAAGTGAACTGCTTTAATTTAAACACTTTACTGAGCAACTTGGTCAAGGATAATTATGGTAAGATCTTGTAAGTGAATAATGAAAATGACACAAGAGCAAAACTTTTTAAAAGCACATTGGATCCCTTTTAACTACAACATTAAGTTGGGGCTGTGTAAAACAATATATACTTGTGGATTGGAAATTGAAATTTCAAAGGCAAAATCTCAAATATTGATCAGATTTTCATTTTATTAATACTAAATTCAGACTCTGGCTTCAGTTCTCTACGCAACCTCAGATAAATATTTTTCATTGTACGAACTATTTATTTAAGGTCATCTTTTTCAATTTATGGACATCTGAAAACTACTAAGACAAATCCCTCTAGGGAAAAAAATGAATTGTAAATCACACACAGAGACAAACAACTGGGCTTTAAGCCTTCCTTCCCATACTCTAATTGGATGAGTGATTAAGAAGGACTTCTCTTGTTTGTGGTGGTGCCCTCTAACGACTAGACGGACCTTGCTTTAATAACCACTCCATGTGCAATTTGTTTTAGCATTTACACCGTTGATGGTAGGAAGCAATTCTTCTTTAATGGATGCTGAAAGCTTCAAGTGAAATCTGTAATTGACAAAGGCTTCACAGAAACAGGCAATTAAGAATAAAATTAACAAGAGGCTCTACAGGAAAAGCACTCAAGCTTTCAAAGAATACTTCTCCAAGAAAATATTTAGTAAAAATAAAAATTTAAAAGAACCAAGTGTGGTTTCTTCCACTTTACTATCTGCTTCTTGTATCTGTGTGTTTGTTAAAAAGATGACCATAGAGTTAAAGTCATTGGGTCCAGAGGAGTAATCCGCCTCCTAATATTATTAGGGGGAAAAAAAGGAAAGAAAAAAATAAGAAAAGCCCATCGTGAAAGTTGAGGCAAGTTCAGCACCTATTTCTTCAAAATAACAGCTGTTCAGTTGAGTTCTAGTACCTCGCATTGAATGGGGTAGTGTGTAGACAACAAATAAAATCGCTCTGAATAGCGAAGCAACAGGGACAGGAAGGCGAACAGGGCACTAATTGCCCTCATGGCTCCAGGAGCCAACAGCAGTCCTCACGTGTTACTAGTCCAGTAAGTGATACAAGCAGATCCGAAATGACGAATATAAACAAGAGCACGAGAGTGAGTGGAAAAGGAACAGAACTGTCAACCGCATTCTTTGCCCAGTCCTCCAACCCCCAACCCCCCAAAAGGAAGTTTACCTGTGGCTATAGGTAGAACCAGGGGAGGGGGCCCGGGCTGGTTCTCAGACGAGTTACTCCGCGGGTTTGGGGGACGCAGGTCTCCCGGTGGGGAAGGGGCGGGGAGCACTTACTTTGAGCAGCTTGCAGCGAATCTGCGCGGAGACCATGTGGCTGTTGCGCAGGTTGCCCACCCGGAACATAAGCGTGAGTTTTCCGTCCCTCATGGAGATCACCGCGTGCTCGCTGAACATGAGGGTCTCGGCGCGCTTCTTGGGCTGGGACATCTTGATGAACATGCAGCCGATGAGGAAGGCGTCCACGATGGAGCCCAGGATGGACTGGAAGAGGAAGAGGATGATGCCCTCGGGGCACTTGTCTGTGATGTATCGGTAGCCATAGCCGATGGTGGCCTCCGTCTCGATGAAGAAGAGGAAGGCAGAAGGGAAGTTATAGACATTGGCCACGCAAGGCGTGTAGTTACCGACGTGGGCTTTGTTCAGGTCGCCCCGAGTGTAGGCGATCACCCACCACATGGACGCCATGAAAAGCCAGGCCACGGTGTAGGTGAGAATGAAGATGAAGAGGTTCCAGCGCCACTTGAGGTCCACCAGCGTGGTGAAGAGGTCCGAGAGGTAGCGGCTTGTCTCGCTGCCCAGGTTGCCGTGCTGTACATTGCACCGGCCGTTCTTGTCCACGAACCGCTGCCGCTTCTTCTTGGGCACAAGCTGCTGCTGAGGGTCCTGGCCTGGCCCCTGGGGCTGCAAGCCCGAGCCGCTGGACGATGTGGTCACTACCTGATAATCGTCCCCAAATTTCCTTCGGAGTGCAGACATAATACGAAGGGGCGAGCCAGATTCAAACGCGAAGCGAAGGCGCAGGAGCTGGGCGCTGCAAACTAGCACCAATAAGGAGGTGGGGGCGGGGGAGGAAAGGGGGCGAAGCGAGCGCTCCTGGGTGGGGGGCGCACCCGGCAGGTAGCTGCGGTCTCTGCCCCCTGCAGACGCCTCTCCTTCTCCCCTGGGACGGAGGCCTTCTTTCCAAGGTGAGTCTTTAAAAAGTGTTCTCCCGCACTCAAGCCAGGAGGGATGCAAGGAACAGGAACCCAAGCGCAATTTTGCCTCCAAGCTTCCAGAGGCTCCTCTTTTCTTTCCCCACCACCGGCATCCCGGGTCACCTCTTGACTCCCCACGGCCCTCCTGATTATCCTGCAGTACCCCCAAACTGACTGCTTAAAATTAATGAGTTGACAAGCGAGTCCCAACCCACCTGCCAACTCGCTGGCTGCCTAAGAAGCTGCCTTTACCTGCCTGGACCAGACCCTCCCCCCTCCCCGCCGCTCCCCAATCTCCCGCCCCCTGGGACCGCTCCCCGCACCCCCGGCGCACCTGTCTCCTATCTTTTAGCCAAAATCCCGCCCAAAGGCATGTCTGCCGGGCACTGGTGCAACGCCCCCTACCCACGCCCTCCGGGCTCAGATTCCCGGGTTCCGGACTCCAGAGACCTGTCCGCCTGGCGTCCCCCGACCGCCGAGTTTCCGCGGGCGCCACCGGGGCCCTCCGGCGGACCCTCAAGGGCCCGCAGGCCGCCCCCGCGCTCAGCTGAGACACGGCAGTGCGCGAAGCCTGGGCACTCACCCAGCGGGAGAGGGCAGGAGGCGGCGCAGCGGGCGGTAGCGGCAGCCTGGCCTCGCACTCTGCGCTCACGGCTGTTTTCCTCGTTCCCACTTTTCCTGGTGTACCACGATGGGCGCCAATGCAGGTCCCCCAAGCTCCGCACCTCCCTGAGGGCACCGCGCTGTCCCTGCCAGAAAGATCCTTGGCGCACAGAGCACAGAATGACTCGAGCGGGGGCTCGTGGGTTCCTTGGCGCTGTGCCCTCCTTCCAGGCGACAGCGGTGCTGCTGGACGGGGTTCGAGCCTTGGGCTGCCGGTCAGACTTTCAGGTTAAACAGTAGCGCCGCTCTAGCTTTTCCTCTGCCTCTTCCTTCTTCGGTCCCCCACTCCTTGTCAGCGCCTCGGTGGCCCCGGGTGGAAGATGCGAGGCGCAAGCCGGGGCAGCAGGAATGTGGTGTGTGTGGTGGTGCGTGTGATCAGCTGCAGAGCCGCGCTAGCCCCGCCTGTCCCTGCCTTCCCCCGCTGCTCCACCAGCCTGAATTGCACCTCCGAGCCTCAGTTGAGCCTGCAGTGTCTGGCAGCTCAGGAAAAGCGAGCCCCTCCAATGAGAAGCGGCTCTAAATCTGCTCCCAAACGCCCGCCAACTCTCCTTCCTCGCCCCCTGCATCAGTCAGAAAGCCCCCAGTAAAAAGCAAATGCTGCTCTCTGAAGGAAGAGAAGTACAATATGTCTCTGTAACTGGGCACTCGTTTAAACGGATGCCTGGATTTGGGGTTGCATCATAAACAGAGATCCCAACTGGCTCTCAGATAGGCATATTCAGAACTCAAAGTTGCAGGAAGCAGGAGGGGCCTTAGGATGAGAACAGAAAGGAGAGAAACACTAATAGAAATCCTTTCTGCAAATGGCTCTATTAGAAAGGCTCAGAATATCTAGAGTTAATGTGTGCCTATAATTGAAGGAAGAAGGCTGGATTTTAATGGCCTCAGCCTGGCAGTTAACTTAATGGAGGGGCAAAGTGCAGAAATAGCTAATAGAGTGCCCATGAGTAAATACCAGCTTGTTTACCACATTTCACGTTTGCTTTAAAATGCCATGGTATCTTAAGGCATATTTCAGTCAGCCCAGATACATGAAGTTGATTTTGTTGGAAAATCATCAAATCATGGCATTATAAAAGCAAAAGGCTGCTATAAGATTCCCATGGAAAGGAAAATAAGTACATAATTACTCTATGCATTCTCTGCCAATAGGTACTCCTCTCTACCTCTCTACTTATAAACCAACTGCAGGAAAGTGCATGTCAGGTTGTCAGCCATAAGCAGGGGACTCTCACTGTTATTTGGTTAAAACATCTATCCTCAGTTACAGATGCTTCTCCTGCCAGTTCGCTGATAAAAGGTCAGTAACTATCTGTTTGTTCTCTTAAAATTACATAAGAAGGGAAAGTGACACCGTGGGAAGTGGAAACTTCTCTGGTCCTAGAATCATAAGACCTGATTTGAGTCGCGTCTGTGCCATTTACAAGCTGTGTGACCTTGAGCAAGTAGCTGAACAACTTTGAGACCTAATTTTCTCCCCTGAGAAATTGGGAGTTTGAACATTTTCCTAGTGTTGGTATGAAAAAAGAGAGTAAATGTGTTTTTTTTATTTCTGCTATGAAGGATGTTATATAGTGGGCTATAAAGTTGCAACAAGACCAAGAAGAGATTACAAATGAGCTTTTGGAGTTGGCAGCATGCTGTGAACTAACACCTATACTCTCATCTCATCTCTGACTACTCTCCCCCAAGCTCATTATGCCCTTGGCAGCTTGGCTTCTTTCAATTCCTGATACACACCAAAGCATAGCTCCAGCCCTGGGCCTTTGCACTAGATCTGTTCCCTCTACCTAGAAAGTTCTTGCTCTGCCGCTCCGTGTTGCTCGCTCCTTCACTCATTCAACTCTCAACCTAAATGCATCCTTCTCAGGGAAGCCTTCCCTAGCATCTCAGGTATTCCCATCACATCAACCTTATCTATGTTCCTCATCTCACTTTTTTTTTTAGCTACCATTTTCTTCATTTGTTTGTTGTCTTTCTCTTCCACCATTATCAGTTGTAGCATGTAAGCTGTACAAGAGCAAGGACCTCATCTGTCTTGTTCTCTGCTATGTCTCCAGTACCTAGAAAAGTATCACATACTAGGTCCACAATAAATATTTATTAGATCAATAATATGTGCCAATCTATATCACTGGAAACTTTACATGCATTGAAGCTCTCTGAGTAATATGGAATTAAATAAAAGTAATGACTAAATCAGATCACTTATATGGCAATATAAAAAACATGTAAGTTTTTGTTGAAAAAGAGTAATACTTCCTATGCTCGTTAGCTTTAGAAATGATACTGAATCAGGTTCCAAGTCTTTTTTATTGTTATTGCTGCAATATCCCTCATAATTCCCCCTCTCTTTAAAAAAAAAAAGTCACTACTGTTCTTCAAATTCTCATTTCAAGTTAGGCCCAACTCAAATAACTTTCTTGTCTTTATTTGGTTTTCCTCTCCTGCAGACTGCCCAGGATAGTAGTACTAGATCTCTCACCTTAAACCATGTGTTTAGTATTGTTATAGAAAATAAAAGTTCTCCAGTTATTTCATCTGGAAGATCTTAAAACATTCCCACTTTTTGAAAAACACTTTTTCATGAAAAACCTTTGCCATTTTCTAGCAACCAAATTTATAAACAAATAAGTTTATACTTCAGGAGACATGGTCTAGTCTAATCCTCTCATTTTACAAGTGAGGAAATTGGGGATATAAAGGCGAAATAACTTGTTCAATGTCACAGAGTTGATAAGTGGAAACAGATTTGACCACAGAACAATATGACTGTAGAACCTGGATGCTCTACCGTCCCTTACCAGGTAGTGGCAGAGTAAGAAAAGAGCCTAGGATTCCTGATTCGTGGCAAAGGCCTTCTTCCTTTATAGGCCTAGCTTCTCATGCAGGTGAAATCTAAGATTCTCCAACACATGGCATAATCTAGCTTTCCAAATTATCTCCTACCTTCCTTTTAATGGGCACTTTGCTCTAGCCAACTTTGACTATTAGGTATTTCTCAAACATGCCCTATATTATCTTCATTTGCTCACTTTTTTTCTCATCACTTAGAATATCTTTTTTCTACACCTGCAAAGTTCAAATAATAGGCACTAGTATGTAAGGAAAGGGAAGGACTTCTTCATATTTTATTTCAATTGCTATTGATGTCATAAAGTTTTTCCTTATATACTCCCACTAAGAGTAATACATCCCTCCTCTGAACTCTCATTTCCCTAGATTTGCAATGTGGCATTTTTCACATTCTAACTGGTATTTCAGCTTAGAATTTATGAAGATTCCCTCTGAGCACCCTGAGCATCGACTTCTTAATAATTTGGTACCATCCGGTATTCCATGATCCAAACTGGCCTTACGCATGATAAACACTTGATAGAGTTTTAGAGAGAACCAAAATTTATTAAGAACCTACTTTAATGTGCCAGGTAATGTGCTTAGAACTGTACAGGTTAGCATTTATATTACACAGATAGGCAGTGAAGCAGGGATTCCAAAACACATCTGCTTATTGTCAAGATTTCTATTCTTTTAATGACACAGTCCTGCCAGGGAAATTAAATATTTTTAAGGATGCCATTTTGTCACACTTTAAATGTCACTGAGGCTTTGACCTATTTGTGACATTGAGTTCAACTCCTTGAAAATGTTCACAGATGAACCAAACTCATCTTTTCCTGTGAGGGCAGCTGCTTCCAGGATGAGGTTCTGGAGGGCAGCCAGCCCCGTTGTGCAGAGGCCAGGAGGATGTGTGGGGAATGGATGATGGAAGGCCTCCTAATCAGGTGCTGTCTGATGAACTGAAGTGAAACACTGCAAGCAGAATGGGTCAAAGGAGAGAGAGGCACACAATTTCAGGCCAGGCCACAAAGCCAGAAAAGATCTGGAAAATGTAACTGCAGAATACAAAATCATCTGGAGTCTAACATTTAAAGATAGGGTGGTAGATTACGAGAAAACTACCATACAGTTCATGAGGGTGGGGGGGATCAAAGCTATATTTAACAAACTCGGCTAGGAGCAAGCTACATATTTATTCTGCCTGGAAAGTACTTCTGGCAGTGTCTTATTTGCTGTGTCCAAAATTAGTAATATCATGAATAACTATAACTTCAAAAATGAAGAATATGATTCTGTGTTTTATACTTTCTACATGCACTTATCCTATTATGTAACTGAACGGTGTGGGGAAAAGAGTATATCTAATATGAAAGAAAAAACCTCTGCCCCTGAGAAGTCCAAATTCTAAAAATGACTTAATCGGCCAACTGTGACAAAAGCAAGGCTTTGAACATCTCAGTATCCCTGGAGTCTGTCTTCTCGTCATTCACTTATTGCCACTGTGACATACCACGTGACAGTCTGCATGGCCAGAAATATTAATTACTGTCTGGGGAAGATGGTATTATATTTAATACTCCTTTACTCCTAATCCTACCATTCTCCAAAAGTACAATGAAGAGATGGGCAGGCCTGGGGATCTAATGCTTTCATACATCAAAAGGTGACACATTCCCATTGCCACCATAAGTTTTGCTATATCTGGGAAGAGGTCACTCTTTGAAATTCTATATGCAATTTTGGGAAATAGAATGGTGTTCCTTTTTTTTTACCCTCCTAAAAAAGAATGCTGAAGTTATTTTCTCTCTTGCCAAAAAGAGAAGAAAAAAACGAGAAGGAGAAATCAGTTTGAGATTTGATTGCGCAGACGTGAGAACAGAGGCATTGCCATACCATGGCAGATGACTCATCCAGCCTTTAATCTTGGCTCCAAACCCTGGCCTCTGCCTGAGGATTCGGAGAAAGGCAATATGCCATTCTAACTTGTAGACCATTTATTTAACAAGGTTTTCCTGACTTAAACCTTCTCTTTACTGCAAAGCTGTACATTGGAGTATGCTGATTTATGAAATAATAAGGACTTTTAAAGTCTTCAAGAGCTCGACATCTGTTTAAAAAGAAATAACTGTTTTATCAGACCTAAAGTTTTTTTTGGCAGGGCTTCAAAGAAAAATAACAATTTCCTATTCTCATCTAGGTACATGGAAGTTATACTGAGGATTTCTCCCCCTGAGAACACCAATGAAGTCGCAGATGTCAAAATATGTATAAGAATTTTGCCTAATTCAGTACAATAAACCCTTAATGTGCACAAACCATGTATCTAGCACTATGCCAAGGTTTGTGCAGATCAGAAATGAAGAAATTATGTCAACAAAATATATTATGACAATATGTATTTTTTCAAAATAATAATGACAATAATAATAATCAATACAATGTGGTAAGTACCTAAAGGAAGAGGACTGCTTTATTTGCATTCAGAGGAACAAGTAAGTCCCTTCAGGAAATATGGCTCTGGCTAATGGGAGTTTTCCAAACCTATCAAACTGGAATCACTTACATTTGGTTCAGCATTAAATTCTCTCTGCTCAGACTACTTAATTTTAGAACTCTGAGAACGGATTTTTAATGACAAGATTTTTAAGGGTAAGATTTTTACACAATTAGAATAAAATAAGAAATAATTTGTAACCATGTTATAGAACCTTTCAAACATGTATTAAAATTCTGGGAGAAAAATACAAACAGTAGATTTTAGAGGTGGTAAAATTTTCACTCTAATATTCTGTGTATGTATATACAGAAAAGATTGCAATTATTTTTCAGTAATTGGAAAACAGTAATAAAAGTTTTAAACAATGTTTAAAAATATTAAGGCAGATAATAACGTCAACACAGCTTATCTGGGAAGCAGATGCTGAGAGAAAGTTAAGAGGGGAAGTTTCTTAGGGTTCAATGCCTAAAAAAGATAAAAGGCGAAAGAAGAAAATGAAGCAGAGACAGACTTCAACTGTGATGCAGAGCTGACACCTGTGAAAGGAAAGATGGAGAGGTATAAGAAGAAGAATTGAGTAGAGAGGGACTCAGACTACGATGTAAATCAGATGTAAGTCAGATAAAGTCTTGGCTAACTCAATGGGGAGCTCCCGAGCCCAGCGTGCCCATTAGAAGAGTACCACATTGGGAAAAGATGGCCTGGTCCTAATAGCCCACCGAGTTGTCAGTGGCTGGGAGCTGCCCTTGTCAGTCCTTGTCTTTAGCTGAATGCTGCTTCAGATCTGGAAAGGTGCTGTAACTGGAGGCCATGAGCTAACTGCATGGCCTCCAGGTGAAAGGGCAAGCTCTTCCTGAAGGAAGATCCAGTGGCATATCTCCATGGCTGCCAGACAGAGTAGAGAAATGGAACTTATCGGTGTCTCTTCAGAAGTTTTGTTACAAATATCCAGAAATATTTCTATAATCTAATCAGCAGATTATGAATATATGCATTAGACTTTAGTTTTGGTGCAATCACATGAATTCCATTTTGTGGAGTAAGAGGTGACTGGGGTATAGGGTACAACCCATAGCCATCCATGTTCATCTTTGTTTTGAATATAATTGGCTAGAAGATATACATATATCTATGTAACTTCCTCTAGCATCCTCCAGTATGGAGGCTGCATTAAGACTGCATGAAGGAGAGGGAGAGAAGGGAGAAACAGAGCAGCTGGACAAGAGGACAGGTATAGGGAATAAGGGAGAAGCCAGTAAGGCAGGAAAGACCCTCCGTGACAAAGGGGCAGGGAACAGAACTCAAACATTTAATGGCAGGTAACCCAGGTTAGAATGGTAAATTGAAAGGTGAATATAAAGGGAGAATGGTGAAATGAATTTTCTGAAATTAATTGCTGTGTTTATAGTTTTTAGCCATGCATCGGAATCACCTCAGGACTCCACTCCCAATCAATTATATATCTGGGGGAGGACCAAGGCGTTGGTATTTTTCAGAAGCTCCACTGGTGATTCTGACAGCACAGCTAGGATTAAGAAACTGATCAATGGGAACGGCATGCCTGTTGCAGAGGAGCTTCCCTGGGAAATGTCACACACAGAACATCAATCTTCCTTCCCCACTCCTGAGATCCCTCATTCTTTGGCACCAGGAACAGTTGCAATTAGTAAACCCTGGTTCCCTGCTGTCTCACAAATCGCAAGAGTCCAACGTGTGGATATAAACTTTTGTTCATGGGAGGATCTTTCTCCCAGTGGAAAAGCAACTGGGAAAAGCAGGACACACTGCACAGTGACTGCAGTTTCATCCAATGCCACCACCCATGCAGGCATAAATAATGAACATGGATGGGGGAGTCTGGAGCTGCTGAATTGTAAGGCTCATAAATGTTTAAACTTTTTCCATTAATAATATTTCTGCTTTCTGTGTACGTGTATGTAGAAGTTCTGTCTTTATAATTCTCACCACTTTGCATCATACTTTCCAGGAGGAAGAAAGAACACAGAAATTAAAATTCTCACAAAGGTTACCATTAAGCTAGAGGAAGACCACACCACTGTGTGTCCACAAAGATACAGAGCCAGGCCGGGTTCAGCCATGCTGGTCATCTGCTCTATATAATACAATTATTTAGAGATGGTGGGTAGAGAACAACTACAGAAAAAAAAAAACTGCCAGAAACTAGAATGTCATTTTTACACACTCATTTGTAGAATTCCTCCCAGTTTTTACTGAAGGGAACTTTAAAATGATTTTCATTTGGGGAAAGAACTGTTTTGAGTTTACCCTATAAGATGGCCACTAAAACTCACCCACTTTCATGATTACCCAGCCATCCTCAGATCATCTTCATGATTTTCCTGGAAATAACGGAAGAGGCCCTGGGGATGATTTTATTGGTAGAGTGGGAATGTATTAAAATTCTCTACTTCCTTGTTACATGGTCTTTCCTCCACCCTACAAGGTGTGTGCTTGTAACTCAAATTTCCATTTGAGTAATTAGCAATTATTATTTAAAACTAACCTGAAAATAAAAATTGTATTCAATTCATTCATAGGGAGCATCTACCTATTTATTATTACCACATAGGTGATGTGACTCTAGAAACATCTTGGTATTCAAATAGCCAATTAAAATATAAAATGTAATGATTTTCTAAAGCTACTCGTTTTCCTTCTCTCATCTCTATCTACTAATTGGAAAGTCTATTCTCCAAACACAGCAAAGATGATTGACAGAATTCTAAAAATACACAAATTTCCCTATTAAAGAGGGTGAATGGATGTTAGCACTGTATCAGACACATAATATTAAGGAGATACCTGCTGTTTAACATTAACATTCTGTGTAGTTTTTGTTTTGCATCAAACAGACATCAAAAAGTGAATAAAAACATGTCGTGAAATTACCAAATAATAAATTAACTTCCTGGATACAAGGAAGTTATTTTAGCAAGTTCTTTTTAATAAAAGCAAAGAATGGGGATGTAACAATTAGAGAAATGTGGAGGAAAACATAAGAAAGTTGGGAGAGGGAGGTTAAATCTCACTTCCAGTTATCAGTAAAGTGCACATTCTTTTCTGTATTCTGTGAGGCTGGAGGTGCTGCTGATAGAATGTCCTCACATATTCTGTCAATGCCAGGATGCAAACATCACTAAATAAACCCTCGTGTCAAAATGTCACATAGTGATTATTTATGCTTCTTGACAACATCAATGAATGACAAGGCTGCCTCTACAGCTGTGAAAGGTTGCATACCAATTGTTAGAGGTAACATAGATGAAGGACAAAGTAGTTATCAGAATTCATTTAAACTGTGCTATTAAATTGGATATATTTGCAGTAGCCATCACAGTAAATACTACTGTGATTCTCCTGAAAGAATATTGCCTAAACAATTTAACGCAGAACATTTCCTAATTACCATGCATTTCTGAATCTCTGCTACCATGTAGATATTCATACTGAAAGAGAAGTGTCATTTCTTTTTCTTCTTTAATTTGTCATTGTTTCCCAGTGTTCTTGCTTCTGGAATTGAATTTGAAGTCCATTTTTTAAGGGTACTGCAATTATTAACGAAGTCTGGCATGATAATGTCTCAGCAGAATGTACACAACGTGACTAAGATAGTTAACGCCTTAGTTGTTCCAATTCCATATTGCTTCCTGTTCCGAATCTACTAATGAGTAATAAGAGATGTAGCACTAATCAATGGGACAAAAGCACGCATTATGAAAATACTCTATCAACTCCATCAGTAAAATTTGTAAGGTAATTATAAATTTGTTATCAGACATTTTAAATTGTTACAGTATAATTAAAAGGTATTATTTTATTGGGGATAACCTTCCACTCTGTTAATCATACTAAAACACTTGATGCTCAAAACACAATTCAAAGTTACCTTAATCAGCGTGAATTTCAAGATCCTCTTAAAAATGACCTCTGATACTACCCTGAGATTACTGGAGTGTAAATCCTTGCTTTGCACTTTCTGGCTGTGTGAACTTAGGCAAATTACTAAATTTGCTGTTCTTGTATTTTCTCACTGTTAAAATGAAATAGAAATAGCACCTACCCCTGTGAGGTAGTTTGATAAAAGGATTAAATGAGAAAATCTACATAAAGCATAGTGCCTAAGATCTGTCACACAATATTTTCAAGATCCATGAAAACAAATTCTAAAATTATCATTACTTGAAAATAAAATCCACATGGAGAACTTCTAATTTGCCACTAAGCCTACAGACGATTTCGCAGCTATAGAAATAAAGTGAAATTAAAGCAATAACTAAGTTCAAAAGAGTTCTGTGTCCTCCCTTCTTTATAACATTCTAGGTTTATAAACTGCAAACTATGTTTTCTCAGCTCAACTCAACAGAAATAAGAATGTGCTTGCTTTTACTCTCTACGTTTTCCCATTTTCCTGTTACTTTTTTTTTATGTTAGCTGTGTCTGAAATTCTCCTACTCTGACTTTACTATCTCTGGTTTCATAGATACATTAATTCATTTTTATTCATAATATCTTTGCATATTGATGAAAGGGAAAATCCACTTATGACCATATTCCACAACTTAGGAAATCCTTGCCTTTATATAAAAAAGAAGTGGCTTCTTAGCTACCCAACAAAACTGTCACGCCCTCCAACTCTGAACAACCACAAAACTACTACAAGAAGCAAAATAAAACAAAACTTTCCTTAAGTTTTTCCTGTAATGAAATGGTGGAAGACTTGTTCACCAGAACACTTAAGAAGTGAGCCTGGCCAGGCGTGGTGGCTCACGCCTGTAATCCTAGCACTCTGGGAGGGCAAGGCGGGCAGATCACCTGAGGTCAGGAGATTGAGACCAGCTGGCCACCATGATGAAACCCCATCTCTACTGTAAAGTACAAAAGTTAGTTGTGGTGGCAGCCGCCTGTAATCCCAGCTACTCAGGAGGCTGAGGCAAGAGAATCGCTTGAACCCGGGAGGTGGAGGTTGCAGTAAGCTGAGATCACGCCATTGCACTCCAGCCTGGGCAACAGAGTGAAACTCCATCTCAAAAAAAAAAAAAAAAAAAAAATGAGCCTGTCAGACTCTGGGACATTTGACAGTGGATAGAACTATCTCAGGGAGAGGTCTGAAGAACTGCCTTTTACTTCTGAGAGGAAGAAGGATAAGAGGAAGAGAAGAAGAGTTGGAAGAGGTGTCAGCACTAGGAGAGGAGGCCTGTCACTCTGGTAGGTGACTCTTCCCCATGATGGTGTTCAATGTTCACAAAGCTAAACTGTCTCATGATTTTTCTGAAGCCAATGAATTACCTAGACTTCACATTCACCCTGATACGAGGCAAAGCCAAGGCAGTATTTATAGGTACAACAGCTTAAAGGTAAGGAGACACAGGAGGAATTAAACCCTAAAAACTCAAATAACTCTCTTTGAGGGTTTTAGATTGGATTAGGCCATAGGTTCAAGTCGAGTTGGAATAGTTCTCTAAGAGACAAGGAGACTCCCAGATGACTCTTGCTTTATAAATTGATTTCAGGGTTTTGTTTATTTGTTGCTAGTTGTTTGGTTGATTCATTTAGAAATATTTTCCTCACTAAGCCAGAGACCAGGCACTGCACCACATCAGCTTTTTCACCATTAACCTTTCACTGTGCTCTATGTAGGTTACAAAATAACACAATAGGAAAAACATTTTGAAATTAAGAGATAAGGGTGGACCAGGCTATTAAAATAACTATGCAGATAACAATCTAGCAACACTCACAGAGTATTTCAAATAATGACTTTAGAAACTAAGACCACCAAAGATAATAACGCACACTTAAATTGGCGCTATTTAAAGGCAAAATAGCTGTACTATAAAAAGTGTCACTGATACGTCAATTCTACGTGCCTTTCAAACAGTATGAAAAACTGTAACTATAGCGTATGCCTCAAAAAAGCAAAGACTGTAGCAGTGATAAATATATACAATCTCCTGAGAAAAAACTTTATACACATATTTTAGGGCAAGAAAATTTAATTTTCAAAAGTGTATTAGTCCGTTTCACACTGCTGTAAGGAACTACCAGAGACTGGGGAAGTTATTTAAAAAGTGAGGTTTAACTGACTCATAGTTCTGTATGTCTGGGGAGGCCTCAGCAAACTTACAATTATGGTGAAAGCAGAAGAAGCAAGCACTTTCTTCACAAGGGGGCAGGAGAGAGAGAGGAATTGTGCAGGGGAAACTGCCACATTTAAATTATCAGATATCATGAGAACTCCCTCACTATCATGAGATCAGCATGGGGGAAACTGTCCTATGATCCAATCGACTCCCACCAGTTCCATCCCTCTACATGTGAGGATTACAATTTGAGATGAGATTTGGGCGGGGATACAGAACCAAACCATATCAAAAAGCAAGGACACTTAAAAGTAATGTTAGTTTTATGCAACTGTTAATAATGAAAGTTTAGGGGGAAGACAAATTTTATCCTGAAAGTATGTTCTCCTGAATTGCCTGATATTCACCATCTATTTGCAAAAGTTAGGATTGACTACACTAATACCAGTTACAGCTAATAGCTATCAATGTTGACTAACGTATCACTCTGACCACTTTTTAGCACTGCAATTCGGGATTGGGAAATAATAAAATTCTTGGAACGCTTCATTACAAAGGAAGCTCATGAGGGAGAAAAAAATAAAACAGATAAAAGCAGAGCTACTATTGTTGAAGCTGGGGCACAAAACGCCACCAACTTGGACCCTTTCTCCTTTCTCATGGTGGCCTCCAAGGGAAATCTAAAGAAACTAAAGGGTTCTGAGGGACAAAGGTCATCCTCCATCACTTTCTGGAAATCAGTAGATGGATGGAAGCAGGGTTGGGTTGAGGGAGAGATGCCAACTTCATCCCAAACTCTGCTCACTGATGAGATTCTCTCATATTTGGATGAATGATGAGGCAGACTGCAAAAGTGAACTCCTTGAGGGACTTGAAAATCTCATGAAAGACCTAACTCATCCCCTTGAAGGGAAGAGAGAATAAGGCAGAAAAGCTAGTAACAAAGTTTAATCACACAGGGAAGCACCTCATGTTACTTGTTTTATTTTTTGTTACTTGTAGTGTGAAATATCTCTCATCCAGGCAGTAATGGTCTAATATGATACATGAATGTTGCAAATGTGCAGATGTTGGAAAGGGTTTGTGGGATTCTAAATAAAAAGGGAAAGGTTTCATTAAGATTTCTGTAATAACAAAACAAGACAAAGGTTGAGCATAAGCAACATGCGTTGGTTCCCCTGTGGAAAAGTGTAACAGTGCAGAGGAAAGGGCTGTTTAAAAAACAAAACAAAACAAAACAAAACAAAAACCTGGGTGTCTGAGCATTTGGGATACCCAAAATATGCCTAGCCCAGCTGCTATGTGATGGAATGCACTTGTTTTCAGTTTCAGAATGGTAAGAGAAGGGGTGGGGATATTATCACATCTGGAGCATGTGATGCCCAGTAAAGGTAGCTCCACACTTAATTCCTCAGGCAGGACCCAAGAGAACTAACAGAGCTGGAAGCATACAGAAGTTTCTTCTCTGTGTGGTATATTCCCTTCCCTTAGCGGGCAAAGCAGGAAAAAAGAGAAAAAAGGTTGTTACTGGACTAGACATCAACTTATACATTAACAATAATGAGTGACCACTAGAAGATTAAAAAAAAATGTGATGGACAGCAGAAGTTACATTAATTAAAAAATAAAATGTTGGGATCAAGTGGCAATGAAAAGGAGCTTAGCAATATAGAACAGGATTGTGTAGCCTTTACTCTTTTAAGTTTCAAGAAAAGAAATGTTCACATTCCTCCTTTACTTATTGCCACATCCTATCATTGCCCCTCTTGAAATTTTTCAGTCACTTCACATTATGCTAAGTAGACAGCCATGGTCCTCTGCAGTTCACATGTAGTGGGTGCCCTTCCCTCCCAGTTGCCTAACAAGAGAGTGAATGTGTAGATTTCCCCCTTTCTTCGGTAGGGAAAAAATCAAAGATAAGAAATAAAGATAAGAAATTACTGTAGTATCACTGAGGACAGCACTGGTTAGATGGATAATCCATCTTTAAATCACAGGGAGTTGCTCTCCTTAGTAATGGCTAAGAGGCCATAGCCTTGGTTTGTTAAAGTTTATGGCTCCACCTGGATGACAGATGGGGCAATAGGAGCTAGGTGCTCTGGGTTCATGAGGTGGCAGAGAGCTGGCTTCTGCCCTGACCTAGTGCTCATGGGACTAGATTTGTCTTCGTGGAGAGGGAGTCACATATATAATAAGACAATCTTACTCATCAAAGCTGGAACTTTGGGCAGATAAAACTGTGTCCCAGATGTGTTCCAGATGCAACCATCAGGTGCTGGTTCAGGCAGTGCCTCCCTTTGAGCCACCTATTTCTCCCTGAGTGGCTCTAATGTGCCCTGCTGCTAGCATGCACCAGAGCCTACATCTAGGTCCCTCATACTCATAAAGTGGCAGAGAATTAAAAGGACTTGAACCTTACAGGCATTAGCCTCTTTGATGGAAGATTTTCCACTTTGAAAATATTTTGAATAGGTTTTTTTTTTTCTTTGAGTACTTTAGATTTCCCTGATGTTACCCTTCAATTGCAGATGGGACATGCTAGCTGCCTGTGACTCTGCCCTTGGCTTTCTACCTTTGCCAGTACCAACTCCTGCTCTCCATGCAAGAGAATCCTTGGGGTCCTTTATGAAAAGGCTCAGAGCCAGCTGCATCACCCAAAATGCTTTGCCCAAACAAGCATAGCTTGCTCCACATGAAAGCCCTTTCCCCAGGCTTCCTCAGTACTCTACTCAGGCATAGCCCTTCCTCTTTACACTTTTCAAGTGTGATACAAGTCCTTGTTTCAGTGGTCTTCAAGCTCCAGTGGAACCACATTAACAGCTCCAGAGTACTATCTTGAAATTTTTTCCATTTGGTTTTCTCTTCTTCTTCCTCCCATGGGCAGTTGAGAGGAGGTCATATCATATTCTGTCAACTGTTTGCAAAGCAATTCTCACTACAGAATTTTTAATCTCAGATAATTCTTTGTTTTCTTATATTCAGCTGGAAATGGCTAATGGAATAATGTTGACTGAGCCAATTTCACAATCTCTGAGTATGTCTTAAAGACTTCTAGCAACTCATTTTAGAAGTGTAGGGACTTTGTCACATCGTTCATGGCTTTTGAGGTCCATGCTGAATGAAACACAGATATAATGATAACATTACTCATTGATCACTTTATATATTTATCACATTATATTCATATACTCATTATATTGGTCACATATTGTCTTAGCCCACTTTGTGTTGCTATAATAGAATACCACAGATTTGGCAATTCATGAACAATAGAAGTTTATTTGGCTGAGAAATCCAAGACCATGGCATCAGCATTTGGTGAGGGCCTATGTGCTTCATCTCCCATGGCAGATGGTGGATGGGTAAGAGAGGTCAACAAACCCACTCTTCTGATAACTAACCCACTCGTGAGATAACATTAATCCATTAGTGACGGCAAAGCATGTTAATAGATTAATGACTCAATCACCTCCTATTAGATCTACCTCCCAGCGCTGTTGCATCAGGGATTAAGTTTCCAACATATAAACTTTGGATGACACGTTCAAACCATGGCACATATGTTGATCATGTTAATAAATAATCAATATGATAATGTTAATACAATGATAACACTATATGATGGGATGAAGTAAGAACATTTGGAAAATAGTCGTGGCTCAGAACAAAATACCCTAAATTATGGCATTTTAGAATACTGTTTTAAACTGAAAAAAATAAGAAAACCACAGAAGCAGGAAGGTGTCTCTCCAGGGCCTCTGAAGTGGGTCACAGAAACTAGAATTCTTCTACCCTGACCAAGCCATAAAACCTAAAAAGGTCACTGTCTGACTTCCTCTGTCTCTTATCTCCTGAAAACCCTCATATGACAGATGTCCTGCGCCATACCCAAGGGGAAGGAATGGCACACAGAGATGTAGAAAAAGTCTGAACAAGCCGGGCGCGGTGGCTCACACCTGTAATCCCAGCACGTTGGGAGGCCGAGGCGGGTGGATCACGAGGTCAGGAGATCGAGAACATCCTGGCTAACGTGGTGAAACCCCGTCTCTACTAAATATACAAAAAATTAGCCAGGTATGTTGGCAGTTGCCTGTAGTCCCAGCTACTTGGGAGTCTGAGGCAGGAGAATGGCGTGAACCAGGGAGCGGAGCTTGCAGTGAGCAGAGATCGTGCCACTGCACTCCAGCCTGGGTGACAGAGTGAGACTCCGTCTCAAAAAAAAAAAAAAAAAAAAAAAAAGTGTGAACAAACAGATCCTGCTGAGTACCCCCTTTATTATCATTAAATCATACCCTTTTTTCTCTAATCCTATTTCTTCATAACTATCCATATCTCACGACTTTTGTCAAACTTAGCATACAAATACATGTTTTTCCCTGAGTCTTTGAGTCTTTCTTTCCAAATGTTCTTGTGTCACATAAAACTTTTAATAAATCAGTGTATATGCTTTTCTCTTTACTATGACTTTTTCAGTTTTACTTTCAGGCCTACCCAGAGACACTAAGTGGATTGAGGAAAGCTTTCTTCCCCTTTCTATTCTGTAGACTGAAATGATCTGTATGATATTAAAATGTGTTATACAACAGTAATAAGCAAACTAAAGAAATGTCAGCTGAACAGATTACATACCCAGAAACCACCTAATAACCTATTATAGTATAAACAAATTACAAACTAGTGAGAAAAGAACGGGTTCTTAATAAATGTTGATGCTGTTGTTATTGATGAGTGATGTTAAGTTTGGATCCATGGAATGCAAGTCCTAAGGCAAAAACTTATACAATGCCCCTTTATTAAAAAGCACAATCCAAGACAGCAAGAGGGAAGGGAGGGGGAATAAGGCAAAGAAAGAGAAAAACCAACAGAGGGAGCAAGAATGAATGACTGAGTTGACTGACTGCTCCACCTTGGAAGACCACTTTCTAAGAGGCCATAAAAGCAACCGCTTCTCACCACACTCCACCTGGGGTCAGAAAGCAGAAGAATTAATCTTTAGGCTCCCTGTCTGTCACGGATTAGTCAACAATGTGCCCCAAGGAGATTAATCAATCCAAACCCCTACCTCTGCCAAACACTTACAGTTACACAAAGAGAAATGGTGACCTCTCACTTCTCTACATCTAAGGGAAGCCTTAGAGTAGGAGGCAGGAGTCCTGTATTGGGAAGTTGGTCATAGGTTACCCCCAATGGGTCCTGACAGTAGTCACTGGGGCCAGAACAAGTGAAACATGTGCGACAGAACAGTTGAGGCAGAACCATTTTAAAGTGATGCCTATCTGAGACAGAAAAATTGAATTTGGATTGGAGTAGGGCATTAGCTTAAAAGTATATGTGAGATTTTACTCAGAATAAATGCCAATAGTTAAATATTTACATTTAGAGAAGTGAAACTATTAAAAAGAAGGTGCATTGCTTAATTGCAGCTTTGCAATTTGCAATTGGTAAATTGATGCATATTTAACATCTCTAAAGAAAAGCTTCTAAGGATACCAGCAACAGAAGAGACTCCAAAAGAAAATGAGAAAGGAAATACAATCTCTGTGCTTCACTAAGGGATGCTTTAATGCACTTCTTGAAAGTCTTTTTTTCACTATCATCCAGAATACCATTTCTCTCCTTGTTCCTCTTGCATGTTTTTGAATTGCTTTATCTTGGTCTCCTTCAAGGGCTCCCCCTCTGTAGTTTGTACTATACATGTTAGTCCTAGCCAGATCCCTGTCTTGTTTCTGTTTCTCCCTCCCTCTGTATGCTCTCTTAATGTTCTTGATGCCACACTCCAGAATTAATTATCTATAGGCTAATGAGCTCCAAATCAATTTTGTCAATTCTGATCTTTTTTGAGTTCCATATCAATATTTCTATCTCTAACTGGATATGCCCATCTTTTTTCATTACAGGAATATCAAACTCTGTGGATTCAAAACTGAAATCAATACCTCCTTTTCTAGGATATATCATTGTCCCTTCCTCCCTGTCCTGCAAAGTTATTGGAATTAACATCCATGTAGAAATATAAGGTGGAACTTTTAGAGTAATATTTTGACACCCCTTTCTTCCTACCCCCCTTCCCCATATTCAACAAGTCAATTTCTCTTGTCAGTTCTTTCTCAGAATGTCTCTCAAATCTGGCCTGTCTTCAATTCCACTGCAAATGCCTTAGTTCAGAAACTCAGGATCACTTATCTGAAATATTGCAATAGCTTTCCATGTGTTCCTTCTCACACCAGGCCCTCCTCACTACAGTCTCTCCACCAGATTCCTGCCAAATTATCTTCCTGAAAGCATTTTTAATTGATCTTGTCCCTATCCTGCTTTAAAACCTCTTCTTGTTTCCATTCCTCACAGCAAGAGTTTAGTTTTTGAAACAATACTTTTCTTTTAACCTCATGCTTACCTAAAAGACAAATACGTAAACTCAAACCCTTATACCATACTGTTTGGGCTTCTCTTAAACATCTAGGTCATAGTTTTCCAATTTATCCATATATGTGTCTGAAAATTCCAAACTGTGGGTTCTCTCACAGTAGAAACTCTACGTTATTCATAGTTTTATGTCTCAGAGTGTAATACATTGCCTAGAGCTGTGTAGGAGCTCAAAAAAGGCTATTGTTGAATGAATTAATCATTAAAGAGAGGATCTGCTAATATATGCAACAAGTATGTTAAATAATGTAATATAAAATTATGGCTTTAGAGACAAACAAGTCTGAGGCATTTTTGGAAAATAAATAAAACATTTTTTAAACTGGAGTACTTCCCAAAATCATTAATATTCTTTAATGCATATTATGACTCTTTAAAAAAGCAATGTAGCATAAAATATGAAATGAACTTTTTGCCTACTGAATGAGTTTTTGATATGAGTAGTGCTCTAACAAAATGACTTTGGAAATGCTTTTATAGAAAAATACACAAATTCACTGTATGAAGGTAATAAAGACAGCTTCCTCTCGTGTGTATCTTTATTCTTCAGGATAATATATCATATGACCCAAGTATACAATTTTATTCTAATTAAATTTCAGATATTATGCAAGGGAAGTGAAAGCAGCTTAGGCAAGGTTATTTTTCCAATGGCATTCCAAGCAAACATTATGGATGATGCCCTATTCCACACAACAACAACAACAATAATAAATAAATAAACAGTAATATAACATTGTTTTTGGAGTATATTCTCACTTTTAATGAAAATGTACATTTAAGTCCTTGAGAACCCAGGGCAATGCTGACAACAGAAAACAGATAGATGGATTGTGACTCTGTATATAGTAAAGCAAACATTCCAAGGAAATGATTATATCTATTATACGATTTGTTTCTTTCAGAGCAAATACAAACTATTCTCAACTTTTCCTAGGTGGAAAATGATTCGTTGCCCTTATTAAAAGAGGCAAGTCCTGATTCCATCAATCTGTGTTAGTTGTACAAATACCTTGATATGCCTTCACAGATAACAGTCTATTTAAAGGCTACACGGAGGAAAGAGGACAAATGGGGTATGACTGTTAATTTTATGTGTCAACTTGCCTGGGCCACAGTGTTCAGATATTTGGTCAGATATTTTTTGGATGTTTCTATGAGGATGTTTTTGAACTAAATTTACACTTAAATTTCTGAACTTTGAGCAAAGAACATTGACCTTCATAACGTGAATGAGCCTCATCCAATCAGCTGAAGGCCCAAATAGAACAAAAGGCTGACCTCTCATGAGCAAGAGGAAATTCTTTAGCAGGCTGCCTTTAGACTTTATCTGCAACATTGGCTCTTCTTGGCTTGCCAGTGGACTGACTTTGGAACTAAATTGCAACTGTTTCCCGAGTATCCAATGTGTTGATCTCCTCCATCGGATTTTGGACTCACCGAGCCTCCACAATCATGTGAGTCCATTTCTTCAAGTAAATCTCTATCTATCCAAGCCCCCTCCTTCCCATCCCCAGCTCCTGCCCTTCTGATCTCTCTCTCTCTCTCTCTCTGCCTACAAACACACACACACACACACACACACACACACACACACACACACACAGGAAACCATGGCAGTAATTGTATAATGACTCTAGTCCCAACACTTGCCAAGCTGGGTTATGGAATTTCTATTGATTTGTTTGCAAGCACTCTATAATATTCTGGGAACTCCCATCCCATTTATTCCTCTACCTGTCCACTCTAACCTGTATGTCTGGTTAAGCCAACCAGACTGTTTCTCCAGAACATTAGAAATAAAGCTGAGGAAGTGATGTCAGTCTTCCTTGGGGCAAGGGGAATACCCTAAAAGAATTCCAGATGTTTATAATATGAAGCCAGGGTTGAGAATCCAAGATACAGGACCTTATGTGCTGAGGACCCATGATACAGGACCATTGATCTTAACCTTATTTCAAGATCAATGGCTTTCTTGTTTGTTTTGTTTTGTTTTTAATCCTAAGAGCTATAGGAAATCACTAAAAGCTACTAAATTTTAAATGTTCTTACCAGGGTTGAGTTTTTTAAAATGCATATCATGGCAGCTGGGAGAGAATGAATTGAGTGAAGGGGACAGGTGTGGATATAAGAAGATTTAGTGACTTAGATCAGGAAAGTAGCAGTAAGGAATGAAAAGTTGGCAGGTTTGAGGTACATTAGGAGTTGGAACTGACAGGAAATTATCAATTGATTGTCCGGGTGCTGGCATTAGAAAGAGTGAAGGGTCAGACTTCACTCCTAGGTGTCGAAAGCAACAGATGACGGCAAAGAGATGCTGGCATTTACTAAACAGGAAACAGTTAAGAGGACCAAGTTTTGACTCCATTTTGGGCATTTGAGCTTGATATGCAAGAAATTTTATATGTATGTCTAGAATACAAATATAAATTTGGCAGTAAGCATTGAAGTGATAAACTCAGTAATCTCTTCTTTGATAACACTTATGCTGGTTGCAAGGACTATGAATTATTACAGAGATGAGATAAGGGCTGAATTCAGAAGTAAATATAAGATTTTGCAGTGTAAAAAGTTTGTGTGTGTTTACTTACTCAAAGTACAAGTAAAATGTGCCTCTTTTAACTATACTTAAAATAATAATCCTACTCTCTTTTCTGTCTCTATAATAGAATACCGCAAACTGGGTAATTTGTAAAGAAAATAAGTTTATTTAGCTCACAGCTCTGGATGCTAGGAAGTCCAAGACCATGATGCCAGCATCTGGTGAGGGCCTTCTTGCTGTGTCATAACATGGCAGAGGGCATCGCATGGTGAGAGGGCAAGTACATGCCAGCTCAGGTCTCTTTTTCTCTTTTGAAAAGCCACCAGTCCCATCATGGGGGCACCACCCTGATGACCTTATCTAATTCTAATTGCGTTCCAAAGGTCCCACTTCCAAATGCCATCAACATGTGAACTGGGGGGTTAAGTTTCTAACACATGAAATTTGGAGGACACATTCAAAGCATAGCAGTAGTGTGTTGCCTGGTCTGAAAAGGAGAAATAAAAAAGAGATGACTAGCATTTAGAAAGAATCTTCCAGACAGTTTTTTTTTTTTAACGTTCTGTTTTTTCTTTTTTCAGAATTTAAGGGCGGCCACAATTAATAAGCCCTTGCTAGTAATACTTAAAGTCAATAATAATCTAGCTCTAATCATTTTGATAAAAGTTTATTTGATTAAGATATTAATAGATCTCCATAGGCTGTTATGATTTATTCTTGATGCACCAGAGAAATATGTCTAAATGTTGTGTGACCTATCAAAAGGACTGGTTTTACTGACTGTAGGGTTTTACTTCTGTGGTGAATCTGAAAACAGTGAGTATGCCATCAGGAAATTTTGGGTGCCTGGAAAGCTGTAGTCACCAATTGTTTTCCAGAAATTATCAACAGTGCCTCTCCGAGAATTGTTGAGTTTCCCAACAAAATCAACATTCTCTTATGGCTTGGTGGATCTCAGGTATGGACCCTTTAACCACTCATCTATGAATCTGACAGGGCTGCAAGTACAGATAAACAATTGGTGGATGGCAACCAAAGACATGGTGACTTTCTTTCAGCAAATGCATTCTCCCAAAAGGTAAAATAAAGTGATTGATATAGAAGCAACAGATGAGAAACACAACAAAAAATTGTTATGACTGTAAAAGGAATAATTTGTAATGGGAAAATTTATCTGTTCTTACAGGTCAAAAAGCTAATATGTTTGAGAACCATCTATTTAAAGAACAGCAAGTTTGGACCAACAATAAAGACCAACGGTGAAAGCAGGCAGCCCCAGAATAACTAGAAAATGCCAAAAGGAGGACCTTTTACTCACAAATATCAAACCATTTGACAGACACTTTCAACACTAGATTTGCGTTTTTTAAATAACTTTTTTTAGGCCTTAAGACTTATCCATAACAACTCAAGGATTTCCTACAGAAGGACATAACCAGGGCTGTCATTCAACCACGACTCACAGGCTAGTGACATCAGCTGGCAATACATCTTTCAGCTTTGCTGGGGACATTATAATTGCCAGAAGTTCATGAAATAGCAGTTGTTAAATATTTTGAATATCTCTCCTAAGCCTATAAATCCTGGAGAAATAGGTATACCTTATCAAAAAGATATTGTTAATCCAAAGTGATACATGGTATAAAAAAGTATTCACATTTGGCTTTGAAGTGTATTTTTGTACTAACATTTGAATGTGTGTCTGATGTTCTGAGAAATTACTTCAAAGAGATTAATGAAGCCATACAGTGAAGACCTGACTCAGGAAAGCTGGGAAATTGTCCAGCTTTTTCTTCATTCTGTTACCCTGCCGAACTCCTCTTTGACACCCACTCTCTGACACCAACAAGGAATAGCTAAAATATCTTTTAGAATAATGTCAATCCTTCCTTATAGAATGGAAGATGGCAGTTTGAATACTACAGACTTTTTTTGTTACAGCAGGCAATGCAGATTTTTAAAATGCATCTATAATCTATCTTTGTTGATTATATCTTTATTATGCACTTTCCTTTCATCCTTTTGAAAGGAAAAGGATGGTTTTATTTAGAGATCCTAGTGCTTTCAGGAAAACTGGGTTCCATCTCAGCTTCAGGTGCGGAAAATGTGACCTGGGCATCCTCCAAGCTTCAAGTGTGAGAAATGTGACCTTGACACAGTACATCCCATTTCCTTCATCACAGTCATTGGGTTCAGACCTTAATATTCATCCTAAGCTTGTTTAATAAGAGTGAATCCCAGAATTATTGAAGGATTGCATCTAAGCTCTCTTTCTTTGGATGATGTCTTATATAGATATGAAGCTTAGGCCTGCTGCAGTCATTTTAATATAGTTATCGTGAAGATAAACCAATGTAAGAAGATGCACAGAGAGATACAGAGCTGGATCTCTCAGGATACTGTAAACCTCTCCATGAAATCATGCCTGAGCCCTTCCCCGTCCATTAACACATGCACTTAACCAAATATTTTCTTCATTTTTTAAGTCAATTAAAGTTGAGTTCTCTGTTGTTTGCAATTTATGGCCTCCTAATTGAAACAGTAAGTCAACAAACAGATCATTAAACTGATTAGGAACTGTCAATTATGTGACGATATAAATGCTGCCAATTAATATGAAAGAAAATTTCACCACAGATAATGACAAGTTGATAGACACATTTGCCTCTCTCTGTGTTGTGTCTTTCTCTGTCTCTCTCTCTCGGCATGTATACGCAGGCACACACACACATATCACCAATCTATGTTGCCTGCTATATTTTAATTCAGCTGAGCTATATATTTTCAAAAATTAAATGATAAAAAAATAAAAGTAATCTCTATGTTATGAGCTAAAGTCTACTTGATCCTGGAAGAGTAGCCTGTGAGAAGGCCAGTATATATCAAATATCAGAATGTTCGGCTCCAAAAGTTCCAGTAGCTTAAGCTTCTGTGCTTTAATCAGATGTAGACTGTATGTTTTTGTACAAAGAAGTAAATAAATTTGACTAGAAGAAGGATAACCAGAAATGGTACTAGTAATAAATGAAAATAAGAAATCAAACGCTATGAATTAGACTTTTTATCCAATCCTCGTATTGACATGACATCGTTGTCAATATTTTGAAGTATTCAGAAGAGTCTAATGTCCTTTATTATTACACAATAATAATTTTCTTATGTCTGTTAGAACCAAGGCAAAAATAAAAGTAGTCAATAGTCAGCAAAATTAATGTAAAAATAATGCTTTATCATTAAAATATGGTGATGAATATAAATATATAATGAGCGTCTCCTTTAAAATTTCGCTACAGCAGTTTTTTTTACCTACGACCCAGGGGTTGCACAAAAACAAATTTACTAGATAAAATCTTGTCAATGTTATTGGGTATCTGCATAGAAGTAATTAAAAATTAATAAAGAGAGTGTCATAACCAAAGGTCATGTTGCTGTTGTTCAAGCCGTTATAGCTAGGTAATTGCTTTCTCTAAGAAAAATTCTTGGCAATGCATCATTAGCCTTTCCCTGTAGTCACAACAACTGCAGTGAGGCTGTTCTTAAAAGTGGTCAATGACACTGACTGACAGGGCAATGGCTTGTGTCGGCACTCTGCTTTCTGCTGCAGAGATGTGTGGGACCAACTGACAGGCACATCATGAGCAATAACTGGGAAACAGGAATTACAACACAATGGAAAGATAAATGCATTCCACCCGAAGCAGCCTGAGAGAAAGGTAGAAAGAAAAAGCTTAGTGATGGAAGAGGTGGTTTGGGTGGCTTCAGTTACAAACATATAAGATTGAGTTAGCAACTGAAATTGTCTTCAACAGAATCTGAGAGATATCAAGGGAAGTCCCTCACTACCAAATCAACAGGTGATACTGGTACAAAAGGGTTCTAAAGAGAGAAGCTGTATTTATTCTACAATGAGGCAGAAGAAAAAATGCTCTCACCTGTAGAGTCTTAATATCTTTTAATTCAAAAGAAAAGGCATTTATGATACCATACGATATTATGTCATGTCAATGTTATATTGATAATCAAAGAACTTGTTTAATGTTATGAACTTTTTTAAAGTACCTGGAAACAACGTGAGGCACCTGCCTCAGATTACTGCCTTCTCACTGTGTCCTCACGTGACCTATTCTCTGTGCATGTGCACATGTCCCTGGTATCTCTTCATCTTCTTATAAGGACGCCAGTCATATTGGATTAGGGGTGCACTCTCACATTTGCCTCATTTAATCTTAACTACCTCTCTAAAGGTACAAATACAGTCACATTCTAAGGTACTGAGGGTTAGGGCTTCACCATATGAATTTTTATGAGATACAATTCAGTTTATAATAATAACTATTCTAATACACTACATAAACTACAACTTAGAAGAGAAGTTATTTATTTCAGTTTCATGAAATCAAAGCAAATAACTTATAAAGCAGCACCACATGGCCAGGATAATATGTGTACTACAGAAACCAAGCATGATATTTTTAAATATCAAGACCAAAATGTTAGATGAAGGCTGTTAAAATATTTTTATCAGGTAAAAACTACTTAAAATAACAACCAAATAAATTTATCAGAGTTAGGACTAGGGAAAAAAATCTGTTGTAAAATACCAAATGATGACCATATCTAGTGAAGGAAACAAAATTATCTATTTCTAAATAAAACTAAACATTTTTATTTCTTAGCAACTGGTTGGTAATTAAAAATAGGTGAATATTATATACAAATTCAAATTTATAATAAACTAAAAACCTAAGGTATAGAATTGGGAGCTTTTACTAGCTCATGAAGGAAAAGGCATGTTTTGTCTTCTGCATCATCACTACTCCAAAATAAATGATGCAACGAGAACTGTCTACATAAGGAAAAGCATAAACATTGACCACTATGTTAGTTTGAAAAGATTTTTCTTTATCATATTTGTATATCTAAAGTAACAGGTACTGAAGTTTTGAATTTGCTACAATATACAGAATTAATTTTTGCTGTTGTTCATATTTGTAAGAAAAATATGAACATATGACCAGACAAGTCTAGTCTACTTATATAAGGCCACATTCTTAATCCTTTTCAAGAATCATCTTCTTGTAAAAATAAAACTGTGAAAAGAACTGACTTTAGAACCCAGATATTGTTGGTCACAAATTTTGAAGGATCCAGTTGTTCAGGTCAAGTTTCTCTATTTATTAAATTGGATAGAAACAGTATTTACTATTTTTATGAAGATTAAACAAGTTACTGTAAAGATTAAGTAAGATAATGCCTATTAAGTACTTAACACCCACAACAGGATTTTTAAAAAGGACTCTCGCTCCTTCAGTTTCTTCTCATTTTCATTTTGATCTAAAAGCTAGAGAGGTGATATTTCAAGTTTTGAAAACCAAAAATGTGGAAATCATATCTAAGTTCAGAATTACTATTATTGCCGTTTTCATTATTATTTTCATTGTGTGCTTTTCTTTTTTAATGTAATATATACATTTATGTTGTACAGCATGATGTCTTGATATGCATATTCATAATAAAATTACTCAAGTAAACAACATATTATTTACCTTGCATTGCTACCATTGTGTGTGGTCGGGTGGGGAGATAGAGAAGTGCACCTCAAATCTACTCGCTTAGTAAATTTTAAATATAAAATACAACATTATTAACTATAATCTTCCCACTCTACATTAGGTCTCTAGACTTACCTATTCTACATAACTGCAAGTTTGTACCATCAAACTGAAATCTCCCCATTTCTTTCCCCTCTTCCTCCCTTGCAAACCACTAGTCCACTCTCTGTTTCTATGTACTCAACTTCTTTTTTAAGATTCCACACATAAGTGATATCATGCAATATTTTTCTTTCTGTGACTTATTTCACATAGTATAATATCCTCCAAGTTCATCCATATTGTTCCAAATGGCAATATATCCTTTTTTAAAGTCGAATAATATTCCATTACACACACACACACACACACACACACACACACACAGATGTATATAATACTTTATGCATTCATTAATTGATAAACATTTGTTTCTATATCTTGGCTGCTGTGAATAATGCTGCAATGAACATGGCAGCTCAGATATCTCAGATATTTCCTTTGGGTACATACTCAGAAGAGGAATTGCTAGATCATATAGTAGTTTTATTTTTTAATTCTTCGAAAAACCTACATATTGCCTTTCCTTTCTGTGAGAGCTGTCTCAATGTTTCCTGCAGGTTACAAAGTTTGTCTCTGGTGCAAAACCCATCAGAAAACCAGAAATACCATCTTTCAAAAAATAGCATCTACTTTTCATGTGTACCATATTATTTTCCTGAACTTTCACATTCATAATTCATCAGTTGATTTCAAAAATTGATCTGTCTTCTTTAAAATAAAAAAATACTTGAAAGAGTAGGTTTTACAACCCAAATGTCCATCAATAATAGACTGGATTAAGAAAATGTGGCACGTATACACCATGGAATACAACGCAGCCATAAAAAAGGATGAGTTCATATCCTTTGCAGGGACATGGATGAAGCTGGAAACCATCATTCTCAGCAAACTATCACAAGGACAGAAAACCAAACACCGCATGTTCTCACTCATAGGTGGAACTGAACAATAAGAACACGTGGACACAGGTCGGGGAACATCACACACCGGGGCCTGTCATGGGGTGAGGAGCTGAGGGAGGGATAGCATTAGGAGAAACACCTAATGTAAATGACGAGTTGATGGGTGCAGCACACCAACATGGCACATCTATACCTATGTATCAAACCTGCATGTTCTGCACATGTACCCTAGAACTTAAAGTATAATTTTAAAAAATTAAAATAAATTAAAAAAAAGAAAGAGTAGGTTTTAAACCCTTTCCAGTGGTAGCACAATGCCTCCTCAAAAACAAAGCACTAATAGCATTTGAAAATACAAAACAAGTAAAAACTGAGCTACTCTGGTTGAAGCAGAGTCTGGAAACCAGGAGCTTAGAGCACAAAAGTGAAACAGCAATTTAGAAAATCATTAGCTTAGAGATTGTCAGGATTCCCAGTGAATAAGTTTAGTAATTCATTTTACACAAATGCCATAATAATGTTGAGTGTAACCAAATTAGAAAGGCAACAGAAAGTGAGGTGTCTTTGAAATTGTGGCTACTCCTGACTGGCCTGAGTCTTTTTTTCTGGGGATGCTCCTGTCTGTAGCTCAGCTACAGTTACAGGACGTATGCAAACAGAACTTATTTACTTTCCCACTAAGCAGACTGTTTTTCCTAGAAACATTTTATTGGTGTTTCCAGTCACTCACCAAACCATGTAGTTGTCCATCTTCAAAAAGTTCACTTTCATACAGACTTATTTAGGATTATAGAATATTATAATTTGCACAAATAAATGTTTCAAATAGGCCTAGTGATTTTAAATGCTTAGGTGGTACTCTAGTACTTACACTAAGAAATTAACAGCCAACACTTCATTGATTGATCTGGAAATTATCTACTCAATTATAAGTCATGTAGCCATTTCCAGATGTTTGTTCATTAGTTATTGCTTATTCAGAAGATTGGCTATATTGGTCCTCATATATTTTTAGGTTTATTAGAGTGTGAACGAACATATACTGTAATTACAAGATGCAGATGAGCAACCATCTGCAGACAGTTCTCCTCTCAAGGACTTTTAGATCAAACTGAGTCATATTCCACTGATGAGTTTCCCCTGGATTAAAGCTTTACAGCACTGTAAATGACAATAATTATGGTGCTGAAAATATAATGTTTTTTTGGACTGGAAACTTCCTTTTCTGTCCTTTCATGCTTTTAAAATAACTTCTAAAATAAACAACTTCTTGTATGATATGTTAATAAGTCCTTTAGGTCAATATTTTTTGTGAGGTTGTAAATGGACTGTTATTGATAAAGGAACAATTTATTTTTAGGTCACAATTTGGGCTCCAAAAACTGTAACTTAAATATTTGACAATAATTTTCAAAGATATATCTTCATCCATTAGTCATCTCACCATATTTCTTCCTTTTTAGTGCAAAGACTCATCCTATCTCAACTATGGGGTGTCTTTGTTTGATTTGTATTTTAGGAAAATATTTATTGGAAATGTCTACAGTGGAGAAGTCCTCTGGAATTTCTCCAGGTATTTCCGCCATAAGCTAACATTGCAAATGGAATATTCAAATTGTATTAGCAAATTTTTCTCATGCAAAGTTGATTCACAGAGATTGTTGGAAAGAGGGATATTTTTCTCACTGTGTTTTTTCCTTTGTCTTGTGGATTACACACTCAGTGAACTATTATTTTAATATTATGAAGCAGCATAACACGGCTTTGTATGGTTCTCTGAGAACAATAGATTTAGTTTTAGATTATAAAAGTATTAATAGGCTTTGGTAAGTAAATTCAGATACTTTTAAAACTAGTATATTCAGTTTGAAAGATTTTCTCCCATTCTTAACGTTGTATCACTCAACACATATTTCCTAAATGTCTAAAATAGGCAGAGCTCTATTGTATATTTGCTAGTTCCAAAGTAATAGAACATTTTTAATGTTTTGCTTACTAACTAGTAGGAGTCGATAGACATAAAACTAGCCAACTATAGTTGTAAGCAGAATTAAATTGGTGCTAAAATATAGACTCGAGCAACATCCTGGAAGAAGAAAGATGAATGGAGACAATGAACTCTAGTTGGTATTTTTCAGCCTCTGTTCTGTGAAGAGGCTGTCTTCTCATTTCCTGGCTTAGGTCTTTATGCATTTATATGTTCTTTTCTATCATTTTTATGGATTAAATATAAGGAGTAGAAGACTGCAGTGTAGACTCTCCCTTAAAATTAGAAGGCCAAACAAATGAAAAGCTCCTCACCATGCCCATGGAAATTCAGATTAAAACAAGAATGTTATGGTAAACAAAGAAAAAAAAAGGTTGATAAGTTTGATGCATGTGTAAAGAAACTGGTGCTCTTAATACTGCTGGTGAGAGTATAAATTTGGGGTGGTCAAATTGGCAATATGTATCATAATTGAAATAATCATATCGTATTATACAGCAATTCAGCTTCTACTTATTTACCTTGGCTAAACAGAAATAATGTACACAGAAAACAGTGTATAAGGGTGTTTAGTTCAGGCTTTTCTGAAAGGGCAAATAATAGAATCATATTTACTCACTGAGCGTCCATCAGCATGTGAAAAACTAACTTATCCAAGAATGAGGTAGATCTCATGCAAACACAAAATAAATTTTTATGTGAAACAGTATACCCAGATAAAGGAAGACATCATTAGGGATAGTGGTAAAATTGGATTTTAGCTAATCTCTGATATTTAACATATTATAGAAGTATAATACACACATATAAAAGGGCATGCCATAGTGTCCTGCTTGATGGCTTTTTATAAACTGAATACACCTATAAAATATTGATACCCTATGAAACACTGATACTAGAGAAGTCTGTCTCATGTCCCATTCCAGTCACTAAATGTCCCTCAACAGTAACTTCTACGTGGTTTTCTAACAGCATAGGTAAATGTGTCTGATTTGTATTTCAATTCAATAGAATCATACAAAAAGTTCTTTTCTGTGTCTAGTTTCTTTTGCTCAACATTATGTTTCTAACATTTATCTGCAAGGACATATGTAGCTGGATTTTAGTCATTCTCTTTGCTGAATAGATATTTATTCCATGTGTGAATCTGCCACATGTATGTATTCTTACAATTAACACTTGCATAGGTCTCAGTTTGAGATGATCACATACAGCGTTTCTATGAACACTTTAGGACTCATCTTTTGGTTAACATAATGCATGCAGTTAAGGAGAGAGCATATACCAAGTTGTGCAATGGCTGGGTCACAGGGTGTACATGCTTAGCTTTAGCACACCTTCTCAAATATTTGTTCAAGAAATTAGTATTTCAATCAACTGTCTATAAAAGTTCTGATTGCTCTACATCCTCACCAACATTTGGTGTTTTCAGACCTTTCATTCTATTCATTCAGGTGGGTGTGCGGTTGCATCCTATTACCATTTCAATTTCCATTTTCTTGATAAGCAATAGTTAAATCGCTATTAAAAAGCATTTTAGTAGCTTTATTTGTATTTGAAAATACTCTTTTATGAACTGTCTGTTAGGATCTTTTGTTCATTTTTCTCTTGTGTGTCCCTTCTTTTTGTTATTGGTTTTAAAGAGCTGTCTATATATTCTGGTTTTGTGCCCTTTATCAGAAATAGAAAATATCTGCTACTCTGAGGGTTATAAATTCACTCTTGTGATTTTTGATGACAGAAGTCCTTAATTTTAATATAGTCCAATTTATCAATATTTTTTCTTTTATAGTCAGTGATTTGCAGGCTCTATTTAATAAGTCTATTGTGCCTATTCTAAGGTCACAAAGATGATTTACTATGTTTTCCTTTGTATCATATTTATTGTTTCATATTTTATGTTTACATCTGTAATCCATCTAGAATTAAATTGTGTATGTGGTGCGAGGAAGGAGTTAAGATTCTTTTTTTTCCAGATAAATATCCAATTGATTCAGCACATTAAGAACACTGCATTGTTACAAATCAAACAATTGCACATGAAGGTATTTTTCTTAGTCCATTCAAGTTGCTGTAACAAAAACATTATAAGTGGATGGCTTATAAATAAAACAAAGTTATTGCTAACATTTTCTGGAGGCTAGGAAATCCAAGATC
This sequence comes from Homo sapiens, assembly GCF_000001405.40. NCBI lineage: Eukaryota > Metazoa > Chordata > Mammalia > Primates > Hominidae > Homo > Homo sapiens. The sequence goes on along the minus strand of NC_000002.12, from coordinate 154,666,790 downwards.
AAGTCCCCAGCAGATTTGGTGTCTGGTGAGGGCCCTCTTCCCCATAGTCTGACATCCTTTTACTATAGCCTCACATGGAAGGAGCAAACAAGCTCCTTAAGGCCTTTTTCATGAGGGCACCAATACCATTCGTGAGGGTTCTGCCCTCACATTCTGAAGGACCCACCTCTTAATAATGCTGCCTTGGAGATTAGGTTTTGACACATAAATTTGAAGGGACACAAACATTCAGACAATAGCAAGTGTCTCTAGATTCTGTTTTGTTCTGTTGGTCATTTGCCCCTCCCAAACTTGTACCAAAACCAAATTGTCTTAATTACTATAGCTTTACAGTATGTCGTGGATCTTGCTGGTATAACACTTCCAGGTTTGTTGCACTTCTGCATGATGGCTTGGGTATCCTTGACCTTTGCATTTCCATGTGAATTTTAGAATTGCCATGAAAATACCTGTTGTAATTTATATTGGGCTACTATCAAATATATTGATAATTTTGGGAGATTTGGCTTCTTCACAATATTTAGTCTTCCAGTCCATAAAGTATATCCCTTTCCTACTTAGGTCTTCTATAATTTGTCTCAACATGTTTTATATATTTTAATATAAAGATATTTCATATGTTTTGGTATATATATTTCTAGGTATTTATGGGCTTAGCTGCTATTGTAAGTTATAATGTTATATGTTTGAGGCTGGCATATGCAAATTTAATTGATTTTTTTTTTTTGAGACAGGGTTTGACTGTGTCGCTCAGGCTGGAGTGCAGTGGCACAGTCACAGCCCATTGCAACCTCAACCTCCCAGCTCAAGTGATCCTCCTGCCTCAGCCTCCTAAGTAGTGGCACTGTAGCTGCATACCACCACACTCAGTTTAATAGATTTTTTAACATTGAGCTTGTATCCAGAAACCCTACTAACTCACTTAATAATTCTCATAGTTTGTAAACAACTAGAGATACAAGCACGTCATTTGACAATAATGACAGTTAATCCCTTACTTCTAATTCATGTATTATTTATTTCTTTTGACTTTTTGCACTGGCTCGGACTTCCATAGGAAGTCATAGTGGGCTTACTCACCTTGTTGTCTCTGAGGGGAAATAATTCAATTTCTCATTATCACATATACTATTTTTATACATTTATTGGTAGACATTGTGTATCTATTTGCTAAAATTGGTTCGTTTAGTATTATAATAAGTTTATGTTGAATTCCATTAGTTATTTTCTGTAATTATCAAGATGTTCATATGGTTTTTCCGGTTTTTCTCTTAATAGGGTGAAATTTATTGATTGATTCTTGAATGTTAAACCAACCTTGAATTCCCAGAATGTAAGCTACCTAGTCATGACACAGTTTCCTTTTATAAGTATTCCTTGATTTGATTAGATAAAATGTTTAAATCAATTAAATCTATTTAGTTAGGAAATTAATCTATAATTTTCATTTTTTAACATTTTTGCTAAATTTTGAATAAAAGTTATGCCGGACTAATTAAAAAAGATAGTGTACCAAATTTTCCTTTTCTCTGGAATATTAAGAGTAAAATTTCTGTTATTTCTTCCCTGAAATTTTGGAATGTATCACTGGTGAAGCCAGACTTGTTTTCTTTCTTTAAAATTTTCTTAAATAATTGATTCAATTTCCTTAATAAACACAAAATTCCTCAGACTTATTGTTTATCTACTTTGGATGTTTGTATTGTTTTTAGAAACTTGTCTTTTTTATACATATTTTCAAATTCATCAATATAAAGATGTTATTAATGCTTTCTTGTTTACTTTTTGAAGTCTCTAAAATTTGTAGTAAATCTTTTTCAATTCTAGATATTAGTGATTTGTGTATTTTTATCTTTTTTAAAAAAATCCAGACTTACTAGGGTCTATCTATTTTTTTCCAATAATCAACTCTGTTAATTTTTTCAATAAGAAATTTATTTTCTGTTTTATCGAACTCTGAAATTACTTGCATTATTTCTTTTCTAATACTTTGCCTAAATTGGATGTATAATTGTTTTACAACCTTCATAAGAGGAGTCATTTTTTTCCTTTCTAAGAGATTCATTCAAGCCTACACATTTCTGTGTAACGCCTGCTTTAGCTGGACCTCACATGATTGATGTCTTGTGCCCTCATTAACTTTCAGTTCAAAATATTTTCTAATTTTAGTTTTGATTTTAAATAATCAGTGGATTATTTAAAAGTATACTGTTTAATTTCCTGGTAGTTTTGATTTTCTAACTTCTCTTTTTGTTATTTATTTCTAGATTAAGTTCACTGTGGTAAAGAGAACATACTTAGTGCAGTAGGAGTGTGATATATTTATTTTGGATTGGACCCTTTATGATTAAGCAATATCTCTGTGTATATCTAGTAATGCCTCTTGACTGAAAGGCTATTTTATCTGATATTAGAATACAAATGCCAATTTTCTTTTGGTTAATGTCTAGGTTATATATTTATTTCAACCATCTGCTTTCAAATATTTTTGTCCTATATTTAAAGTGTGGCTTTTGTAAACCACATATATTTGAGTTTTATTTTCTTACCCAGTTTGACAATCTTAATCTTTGACTTAGAGTACTTAGTCTACTTACATTTAATATACTATCTAATATATTTTAGATTTTACCTACCATCTTAGCATCTAATTTTAATTTGGTCCACGTGGGTTGTGTCCTTTTCCTCTCCTTAATTGTTTTATTTGGATAAATCATTTTTTATTATTCCATTTTTAGCTTCTATTAACTTTTTAGTTATATATTATTATATACTAGGTTTTATGTATATATTATTTATATATAATATACACTTTGATTTGAATATATATTTGATTTAATTTCAAATTCCAAATGTTAATCAGAATTACCTGGAGAGCTGCTTAAAACAGAGCTTTACTAAGCCTTATCCTCAGAATTTTAAATTCAGTAGCTCTGGGATGAGGTCAAGAATATGCATTTCTATTATATTTTCAGTTTATGCTGATGCTGCTGGTCTGGGGACTATGAGCACCACTACTCTAGACATTACGGAATGCAACCTTATTGTACTACGATTTATTAGTCAGAGTTCGCCAGAGAAACAGAACCCATAGTAGATATAGATATAGATGTAAATACATAAAAGGGAATTTGTTATGAAACTGCTCACACAATAATGGAGGCTGAGAAGTCTCACAAGAGGCCATCCGCAAACTGGAGAAACTGGGAAGCCAGTAGCATCATTCGACTCTCAAGTCTGAAGGCCTGAGAACTAGGTGAAACTCTCAGTCCAAGGCAAAAGGTGTGAGAAACTGGAATACTGATATCCAAGGGCAGGAAAGGATATGTGTCCTAGCTCCAGGAAAGAAAGTGCAAATTCACCTTTCCTCTTTTTCTTTTTTTTTTTCTACCTAAGCCCAACCTATTGGATGATGCACACCCACACTAGATGAGGGCAGATCTTCCTTACTTAGTTCATTGATTAAAATAGCAATCTCTTCTGGAAACATCCTCACAGACATGCCAACAAATAATGCCTTACCAGCTATCTGGGTACTTCTTAGCCCAATCAAGTTGGCTCGTAAAGTTAATAATCACTTACTGTCTCATACAAAACACTGCTTTAACATTTCCCTGTTATCATTAGAAACTTAGACTCTTTTAACTTTACATTATTCTACTATTTGTATTATTATTGCTATGCAGTTTATTTCTGGATATATTTTAAATTTTAGACAATATTAAAAATACTTGTATACTCTCAATATTCGTTTATATTTATCTACATATTTACCCTTTCTGTTGTTCTTAATTTCATTTGAAATTTCTGAACGTGATTTTTTTTTTTTAAAGAATTCCTCTTAGAATTCCTTTTTATTCAGGAATCTGGCATTTTCCTCAGTTTTTCTCTTTTTTAAAAAAAGCTTTATTTTATATTTATTTTTGAAGCATTTTTTTTTACCAAGTATTGAAATCTAAGTTCATTTTTTAAGCCTTTTAAAGATACCATTTCATTTTCTTCAGGCTTCCAGTGTTTTTCTTGAGAAGCCAGCTGTCTGTTTTATTATTGCTCTTTAAGATCATGTGTCTTCTCTGGCTGGTTCTGAGATTTTCTCTTTGTCTTTGATTTTTAGCAATTTTACTATGATGTAACGGGGTGTGGTTTTCTTTGTGTTTATTATACTTGGGGTTCATTAAGATTATTCAATCTGTGGGTATACATAATTTAACATTTGAGGAAAATTCTTAGTCATTTACATTTCCAGTATTGCTTCTGCCTCATTTCCTCTCTGCTCTCCTTCCAAGAATCCAGTTTTACATATAAAGTCTTTGAACAGATCCCAAATGTCTCTTATACTGTGATTTTTCTTTTCATTTTTTTCTCTTTTTGCTTCAGTTGGACAATATTTACTTGTCTTCCAGTCTATTAATTCTGTCTATTGCTGTATCCAATCTGCACTTAAACACATATATCAAGTTACTAACTTTACTAACATATTATTTTTCTAGAATGCATATTTGGTTATTTTTATAAATTTAACATATCTAGTAAAATTGTCCTTTCTTTTCATTTTGTGCAACTTTTCCCCCTTTACATTTATATAATAAACACAGTGATTTTAATATTCATTTCCATTTTCACCAATATCAGGGTCATCCATGATTTTACTTCATTTATCTTTATTTTTATGTTATTTTTGCATTTTTATATGTATATATGAGATATATACATATGATATATTTATATATATGATATTATTCCAGAAAAGATTTTTTTTTTGCTCGGTTAAGCAGATACAATTGATTAGCTCAATCACGTTAGTAGTTGAGATGAGAAGGGGCTGTGCTATGTTATTCTTGTGATATCATTCCAGAAAGGAAGATATTTATTTACTCTGTTAAGTAGATAAGATTGATCAGCTCAATATTCATAGTTGAGCTGAGGAGGGGCTGTGCTACATTATAGTAAGGTTCTGTCTACCTCTAATTTCCTTCGGTTCCTAGGGTGCAGCTCTTCTGAGCTTTTTCCAGTCCTGAAAGACCATGGGAAGTCTATCTATGCTCTTCAGATGCCCTTCCCAGGTATGTGAACTTCTGAGTCCAGCCCTTCTACCTCCAGCCCCATGGAAGTTATCTGACAAACATTTTGAGTGAGAGTCTCATCATGGGCTTAGACCAACTTATTTTCCCCAGAAGAATTTTTCCTAAATGCCATGGAACTACAAGATAATTGCCTTTGTCATTCAGAAGCATTCAGGCTAACTTCCCAACTTCTCTTGAAGCCTCGTGAAAAAGCAAGCATTCAGTGCTTAAAATCAACCATGCATTTCGGACATTTGTGGCCCATCAAAATCAAATTGTTCACTTCAGTCTTGTCCAACACTACACATTTTTCTGTTTTCTCTTGTTCTCAGTAGAGGTCCTTGACTTAAGTATGTAATCTCTAGTATTCTCAAAGGCAAACTGCCAGGCAATCATCAGCTCACCTCAGAAAAGTTCTTCCCTTATCCAGCATTTTTGTTGATACAGTCTGCATTGATTTCACAGCTCTCTGACATTTTTTTAAAATATGAGTTTTTTTGTATAATTCTGTTGTTTTTGTTTTGTTTTTTACAGGATGTAGAGTGAACATTTCTTTGATACAACACACTACATCCTCCTAGAAAACAGAGATCCTTGTGTAATATTTTAAGTCTACAAAGGATATTATTATATGATTATTTTCTTGCAATTAGAAGTAAATACAAAATTCTGTCTTAGGATAGATCACAAAGAGTGTACAAGAAGAAATGACATCTGAGCTACCCTTTAAAAATTATGTAGATTTTACAAACCCTGAAAAAAGTTTAAGGGTTATTGGAAGCTACATTTAATCGTGTGAACAAAGTCACTGAAGTATGAAAGCTGATGTGATAAGAGATAACTGATGTGATAATACTGTAGTAAGAGATAACTTAGGTTTATATTTATTTCAAATTATGTTAATTTTGAGGAAGATGTTTTAATTCACCTACATAATTCTTTAAAAGTACAAGGTTTGTTAACATATTGCCAAACACTTTGGAAATCAGGTAAATACTTAGAAATATATTGAATTCTTATAACTATTTTTTTAGGTAGCATGAGATCCATTTTTTTAAAAAAGTTCTCCTTTTTATAAACATGTAGTATGTATTGTTGCAATATGAGGACGTATTTAACACTTCTAAATCAATAGGATTTATTTATACATAACAATTAGACTTTAGAAATAGATGATATTCTGAAATGAATATTTTAATTTCATTTTATGTACTGAGTCTAAACACATTTTTATAATGTATTTTAATTAGTTTATGTACAAATTTTCATCTTCACATTTTTATTTAAGTTTTACATGACATACTATTGGTGATTATTCTTAGTTGGAAGGTCATCTGAGAGAGCCACGAATCATATCTGTTACAAGATAAGAACTTTCCCACAAATGCCCTGAAAAATGTTACCCAACCAGCAAATAATTCATTGTTTCACCTACAATATTTTGGATCTTACCAAAATATAATATGAAAACCTATTTTTTTCTACATTAGCAAGGTTTATTGCATATGAGATACTGACAACTTTGCTACTTCCTTTCACTCATCTATAAAAGTAAAACCACTTATTCATAGTTACAAGGATAATTCAGGGAGCGAAGGAAACTCAAAAAGCATAAAATGTGATAAGTATAAATAAAATAATTGGCCACTCAGAAATGTATATTTCTCCATGAAATATTCTTTCTAAATCAATTGGATGAAATCAAAATTGACCTCAACGGTCAACACAAAAGTTATTTGATTGTGAACTTCTAGCAATTGAAACTACAATTGCAATGAAAATAAAGCCCCATGTGTCAAATGTGGAAGAGGTTGATAATCAAAATCTACCTAGTATATATTTTGCAAAAATACTCTGGGATTATATGTAAATGACTCTTTTCTGCCAGTTAAGTAATCCATGCTTCAATAGTAAATAGAGAAAATAAATAGGTAGCTAGAATAGAACACAAAAGCTCTTTCAGAGTTCAAATCATTTAGTCTAATTCCTTATCACTTCAAACATCATCTAATGTAATGGCCTGGCCTCCTGTGTGAATGTAGTCCTCCCAAATTTTCTTTAAATTCTGTGAATACACACTTCAGTCTGTGAAACTTTCGCAGTCATCTCTCAAATCAAATCCAATTCTGCCTGCTATTTTGAAACCCCATCATTTTTCAGCTACCTACCCTGAATTGTTGGTCTGACACGACATTCCAGTTTATCCTCTTTTGGGAAGCTGGAATTAAGAGATATTGCTGGGTTGCGCATATGGTCATTTTTAGGTGGTGTGTGTGAGATGGAAAAGAAAGGTGGTGAGTTGCTGAGGTTAGGGAAGGCAGAAAATTGCTGTGAATGTCGGACAGTGAGATTTGAGGAAAATATTGGGTTTTCATTCCCCAGTGGTGGTTACATGGAGTTGCCAGGAGCAAATGCAGTGGCATCAGAAACACTATCATAGATAAGACTTTAAGAGATCAAAAGCAGAAAGCTGTTCCCAGGGTGAGTATGGGTAAAGAGTGAGACACAAAGTCTTAGGTTCAGCATTCAGTTAGACACAGGAATAAAGAAAAGGATGATAAGAAATAGAAGTAAAGCAATGAGACTACAGTAATAAACAGATCTGCAATCCCCAGAGCTAGTTTTTAGTGGGAGTGGCACCATGTTGTATAATTGTGATTTCCATGTGTGGGATTAGATTGCATTGCCAATGTAGTGAAGATGAGTGTACAGCAGTAAAACTCTCCCTCTCCTGGTTCCTCATTACAAAAATATTTAGAGACAATAAGGCCAAATGCACATGAGTATCTGATTAACAAGATCGGATATCTAAACCCCATCCCCACAATTGCTAATGACATATCCCTAATGTTTGCTTGACATACCTTTCCCTCTATTCACAACAGCCGAAATATGAAATCATCAACAAATGATCAACAGATGATTGGATAAAGAAAATACGTTATATATATACAATTGAATACTATTCAGACATGAAAAAGAAACAAAATCTTACGTATAACAGCCTGAATGAACCTGGAAGACATTACGTTAAGTGAAACAAGCCAGGCCCAGAAAGACAAATATCACATAATTTCACTTTCATGTGGAATCTAAAAAAAAGTTGGTCTGATAGAAGTAGAGATGAGGATGGTGGTTATCAGAGTCTGATAATTACAGGGAAGGCAGGGTGAGAAAATAGTGGTCAAAGGATATATAGTGACAGTTAGATGAGAGGAATAAATTAAAGAGATTTATTGTACAGCATAGTGGCTATAGTAATGATGATATATTGTATTCTTTAGAAATGCAAAGGGAGTAGATGTTAAACCTTCTCACCACAAGAATAACTGTGAGAGTTAATACATTTATTAACTAGCTAGATTTAACCACTCCACAATGTATATAGACTTCAACATAATGCTGTACATGATAAATACATACAATTTTATCTGTCAATTTAAAACATAAAATAAAGAAAAGAATGGTGGTGGGCGCCTGTAATACCAGCTACTCAGGAGGCTGAGGCAGGAGAATCACTTTATCCCGGGAGGTGGAGGTTGCAGTGGGCCGAGATTGCAGCACTGCACTCCAGCCTGGGTGACAGAAGGAAACTCCATCTCATTAAAAAAAAAAAAAAAGAAAAGAACAGAAAAACTCTTTCTTTTTTTCACAGTTAGCCAGTTAGAGCTCTGAGACTTAAGGCACCAGTAAAATTTCTGATGTATCATTGCACTGTAAAGAGAATTTTAGACCATCTCATATCCTCTTTCGTTGGTTGGTGAGCTCCTTGAAAGGTTACCCCACAAATCAGAGTCTGACTTCTGCTCTTTGATTTGTTTCACTCTATTAGTAAATCTGAGATTTATTCAAGCCGGTAACTTCTTTTCTTTGCTTTTTTTCTACTGTTACCCATTTTGGAAATTTTTTAGCGATATTCACATTAATATTCATGAGAAGGTGCACAAAATTTGAAATTCAGATCAAATATATGTGTAGCATTATAGCAGAGCTAGTAAGCATTTATGTGAAAAGGAGGATTTTTACAACTAAAATGAAGACATCAAATTTTTCAGAAGTTACATTCTCATTTTTTATAGTTTTTGTCCCATCTTACCAAAGATATCCAAAAGATCACTCATTTGTAAAACTCATGACACTGATATTTATTTTTTCTCTTAAATTCATTAGTAGTCATATTTGCATTCTCATGATGGACACAATCTATTGAATATAGTAGGGGCCCATTAAATATTTTTTAATCTAATGAATAACAAACGAATGCATATACAAATTGGATCCACTCAAAACAAGAATATACATTTAGCAACATTCTAAATTATCTGGTTAATTCACCCAGGGTGACTCTAACTGCAATGACACATAATTGCATCTGATTTAATATCTGTGTTTTATCCTCTAATAAATGTTATAGCTATATTTTTGACCAAGGCCACCTTGTTCATCTCATTTTAAATTTAATATTTAGCATTTCTAATGAGGGATTCTATACAGTCCTAGAAATAATTTTATTTGGAAAACTAGCAGTCTGGTAAAACCTTAATTCTGGGAAGGCCGAGAAGCAAAGCCTTAGGACCTACAAAATCTCAGAATAAAGTACAAAAGTGCCAAACACTTGGGGTCTTGTGGAATGACCCAGAAATAAGGTGGACTAATGAACAGTTGTTCTCATTCATCCCTTCTCATCTTTTCTCTATCCTGGGAACTGGAACAAAACGGTGTTAGTTAGAGTGGAGGGAAGATAAAACACTATTTACCCAAGTTTACATTTGAATGGTTAAGTGCATAGGCTCGGAAATGGGAGAGAAACTTGGAGATGTAGATCTGCTAACTACTAAAAAAACTTGAGCTATACAGTTAATCTTTCCAAGTTTTCATGGTCTTCGCTGAAAATCAGAACAATAATAGTACCTATCATATGGTTCTTCTATTAAATAAGATGATACATGTAAGGTATGTATCATCTCAATGTATTTTGACCCAAAGCATGTGTTAGCTATTAAGATTATGTGGCAAGCATTTACCAGGTTGTCTTTTTCCTTTTGTGATACCACCGTTCAGCTAGTATCCTTTTAATGTTAACTTTAGGTATAGTAAATGTTTTTTTTTTTCACTTATCTGTAAAATAGGAAAATGGCTCTCTCTACCTATGGTGGTTCAATTCTCTGTAGATAAATGATAGATAGGATTTCTTTATTAAAAATTTAATATTTAAAATGTGATTTAAGGCCACGTGCAGTGGCTCACGCTTGTAATCCTACCACTTTGGGAGGCCAAGGCGGGTGGATTACCTGAGCTCAGGAGTTTGAGACCAGCCTAGGCAACATGGCGAAACCCCATCTCTACTAAAACACAAAAAATCAGCCAGGCATGGTGGCGTGTGCCTGTAGTCCCAGCTACTGAGCAGGCTGAGGCATGAGAATTACTTGAACCCAAGAAGCAGAGGTTGCAGTGAGCCGAGATCGTGCCACTGCACTCCAGCCTGAGAGACAAAGCAAAACTCTGTCTCAAAAAATAAAATCACATAAAACGTGATTTAAAATCCACAAGTAAAATGTGATTATTTTATTTTTACTACAGTAGACAAAGACGATCAGGTACCAAGAAAAATGTATGTGTGTCACTGCTGTTAAGCATTGTCTTCGACCAGTCTTTTTAGCTGCATTTCTCAACATTCAAGAAAATAGGGTTCACTCCACTTTTAAATCTCAAAGTAATGTTCTGCTCCCTGAATATTAAGAAAGGGTGAGGGAACAATAGTGGGCTGCTAGTGCTTGCTTGAGTATAATTTTACAAGTCCGAAGCACTATGAAATTCTTTATGTCTGTTAGAACTATAATATTGTGTGCTTTGTGTATCAGAATATGCTAAATTCCATTCATTGCTGGATGAGATCCTGAGACTCAATACCTCTGAAATAAGCTATACTCAAACTTACATTTGGATTATAGAGGCATTTTAAGAAATTACCCAACCAAGTAAAAAACTGAATTGCTCAGCCATGTCTACAAGAACAGGATATTTGCTGAGAATGCATATTCAGAAAAAAATAGTTCTTAAAGGAAGAAAGATAAATATTAAAATTATCCCTAAGGCACACTTGTTGTTTTGCATTTCACAGTTTGCAAATGAAGGTAAAAGAAGGAATCCTTTTTAAGTGTTATACAGTTTTATTTTAGGGCTCTTGGATCTGTTGACCTAAATGTCCTTCATTGTCAAACCTTATGCCCATGTCATATTATGGCAGAGGCAACAAAATTCAAAACTATATAAAAAAGGAGAAAAATTGAACAAAATTTTCACCAATCCACAGTATCTCCAAGCACTTATCTTTTTGCATGTACTGTAACAATTAATCAACGGTGAACTACTACAAGTTTATATTAAGAAAATTATGATGAACTTTTAGAAGTGTGTATGGTCACACAAATTGAAAGTTGAAATGTCAGCCATAATAAACACAAATTTGCTTATAATACTTCCTGTAAATACTTTAAACAACTTCTGAAGAAGTTTTACATATTCTCTATAGATCCTTACCAAAACTAACAGAGCTCAGTACCATCTGGTACCATGTCCAAATCCAAGTTATGAAATCAAGAAAACTGTGTGTGTGTGTGTGTGTGTGTGTGTGTGTGTGTGTGTGTGTGAGAGAGAGAGAGAGAGAGAGAGACAGAGAGACAGAGAGAGAGACAGAGAGAGAGAGAGACAGACAGAGAGAGAGACAGACAGACAGAGAGAGAGACAGACAGAGAGAGAGAGAGAGAGAGCTATATTTGTAAGGTTAAGTGGTGGTAATGCAGAAATATCTTGATTCTTCAAACAGGGATGGAGGACAGATGTTCCGAGAGTCTCTTAATGTTCTTACCCTTTTCATTCTATACTGATAACCCTAAGCCTTCTTTGCATCCATTTTCTCATCTATTAATTATGTGGTCAGTATATAACCATCCCATTCAATTAACAGTACTATTGCAATAATGAGTGTTTATTCTATGTACAAAGATATTTTGCATCCATATAAGACATTAAATACTATGTCATATTACAATTGTTTAGAGAGTGTCAGACAGGTTCAGGATGTACAGTTTCCAGAGGCCTTACATCAGGAATGTCTTAATAGGAACTCCGGTTTTGTACATACTGATTTGATTATCTGGTATCTTATTGTAGCGGGAGCATAGTTCAGAGGGAAATGTCACAACTCTAGAGTTAGGATTTATGTGTATTAGCACTGACGCTCCAAATTTATTATATAATTTTAGAAAAATTGTATATTCCTTTTGCCTAGGTTTCTTTGTTTGATAATGGATATAGTAATTTTCATTCATACGATTAAATGCATTTATAAAAAATACCTAGTTTACCAGAAAGCAGATGCTTAAAAAATATTGGTTGTATCCAGTGGTCTATTGAATAAAAAATTACTTGCTTTATAAAAACACATAAAATTCTCTTTCTTGGCTAATTTAATAACTCTAATTTCAACCTATACATAAGGGACCAAATTAGGAGAAAAAAAATGCTTTGAAAAAACAAAAACTTTCCACCTGATGATTCTTGCATAAGACTGACGGTATTGACCTTTCATTTTGTCACATCAAGGGTGAAATAAATTAACTGTTACAGAATGTAGTTTTAAAACTGCATCTTTTCTCTACTCTGTTTTGTCTTTATATATTCAAGGAAGGAAAAAAATCCTAAACCTCTAAATATGACTTAAGGATCATAGAATCTTGGCAAGAAGTAAAATTACCATGCTGCAAGAGTAACATTTTTACTCCATTTATTTAACTGTAAATTTTTAAAACTGTAAAAATGGGTAACTAAATAAAATGCCCTCTTTCTAAAATAACAAATACACTAACCTCCAGCTAAACACTATATTTATAAAATAAGCATGTTCAGTTCAGGTAGTGTTATACTTTTAGTACATTCCAAGATAAAAATCAGGTTAAAGATAAACTACCAAATATTTAGGAGAACTACTTCAGATTCAATTTCTGACCATTTTTGGCAATTTAGTAATCTTTGGAACCACTGTGTACAACAGTGTTTGCAAAAGAAAACCTACCAGCAAGATAACTGTGATTAGTAAGCTGTGTTTTCTATTATTCGGAGCTCTCCAAAAATTCTCCTGCTGGGCTGACATTTGAAAGGTTAGTGTACCAAAAAGCATTTCTCCTTTCAGAAGTTCAAAAAATTAAACATAAATTTTACAGATCCAGCAGAGAAGATAAAAACCTCATTTTCTATAAATTGGAAGCTTGTAACACTCTCCTTAATATGCACATTATATGTAGTTAATGACAGAAAGTGCTTTCAAGATATTTCAACTGCAAACCTAAGTTTAGTTTTGAATTTACGTTTAAATTTTAAAACAGAAAAATGTATTTATTAAAAACATTTATTGAAATAATTTCTTTACATAATTAGTATTATGAATCACATTAAAATTAGAATCCTAAGATGTATAAAATGTAGTCATAACATTGTGTGTAAATACTATATTATTTCCTCATTGTTGAAGTTATGAATAAAACAGACACGCACATCCATAGACACGTTGTTTGATTAGGCTTGTTTAAAATCCCCTATTGTAAGAGTGAAGGGATATTTTTCTCAGAACATGTTAGAATTACTGGTACAGCTTCAGAAGGCAGAACTGGAATCAATCGATGCCCATAACTGGGAGAGAGATTTAAGTTCGGCAGAAGGAGACATTTTCTAACCATTAGAACTCTCTGCCCTAGGATGAGTAACATGGAAGCATTCACCAGGAGATTGAAATATCTTTCAAGGATGGTCGATAGAGGATTAGTGCAGTGACACTAATCTAGAGTTCTCCTAAGGGGAATTTCACTGCACATTTTCACTGAACAAATTGAAAATGAAGTTGAACTTAATTTATTGGTAGGTGAGGAAGATTAGTTTAAAAGCAAGAAGAGACTATGATTTTTTACAACTAAGACAATAATGTATCAAATACTACAATTAGGAAAAAATCCATGGTAATAAAACTGTGTTCATGATTGCAAATAGCTGCATGGTTCTTTACCTTCTAACATGTTTTATATAGTTGCATTAAGTATACTACATTGTAATTTTTCCCAGTTATTGTAAACATTTTGTGAATTTTTACCTGTTCTTTACAAAGTGTGTGATAATATAATGATTATAAAAATTACCAGCATGAAGATGGTGATGATGATCAATTATATCAATTGAGTGCTCCTTATATGCCAGGCACTGTTGGAAACATTTTGCAGTGTTTATCTTATTTAATCCTTACAACCCATTTGCAGATCAGCTTATCTAGGCAGAAATATAAAACATTTGTTCCAGTATAGTGCTATTATGTGATGTAAGCAGGCCTTTATACCAGGTAGATTCTCCATGCTGTTATCCGATCATTTCCTAAATAATGAAAACTTGCTATGGAGACCTAGCAGAAGCAACTAACCACTAGAATATGAGGGGTGGAGAGGGAGATTTCTGATGTCAAATGTTATTTAAATAGTACTTTTCCCTATCTTCATAGAAATAAGAATGTAGGCATTTTTGTATAATCCTACTTTCTAATAAACAGAATTAAAAGACGATAATCTACATTTTGTTTATTTTGTTTTAAGAATCTTCACCTTGATGTGTAGGAATTATTAATCTAGTATTCCGCCCTAGGAATACCTCTGGATCCAAGGTGTCAGAGAGCCCAGATAGACCTAGAACCTTTTCCGGGGTGGAAGGAATGGCACCGTGTGTCATAACATTTCAAACTTTCACAAGAATAAGGCAAGATTCTTCACTGAGAACTACAAGAGTAGATACCCCTGATGACACAAGTTGAAATGAAGGGCTCTTTATTTGCCTCCAGACAGTGACAATTATAGGTTAGTATTTTTTATTATTATGATAGTGGAAAGGGACTAATCTAGGACAAAGGTTTTCAAATGTTACCGTGAAAGAATTGTTTAGAACTTATAGAAAACTCTGCACCTAATCCAATGTAACTAGCTGACTTCTTGGAGGTAATATCTGTGGTTTTTCTTTGTCCTCAATATGATAACTGGTAATCCCAAGGAATGAAAACTACAAAAGAGGATTGTTTCTAATTAGTTGGTTTGTTTACAGAGTAAGGGGGAGAAAAGGAAGTTTCTTTGCCAGCCTTTAGAAGTACTTTTATTTTACTTAAGTGTATTTATTATTTTCCCAATGCATTTATACTATTCATTCCCTAGAATAATGCCCCAAGATTTCATTAATTTGCTCCCACAGAAACAAAAATTGTCTAGAAAGCTTTCTATCTGAGGCAAGATTTCTTCCAGTTTCAATACTTCATTTTTCTTTGCTATCTTTGTTTCCGACCATTTTTGACCTAGACTTAAATCCACAACTCTAAATTTAATTCCAAGTTCCTGGGTTGTGGACAAGTCTCTTTACTTGCTCTGAACACCCCCTCCTATGGATTCCTGCCTTTCTTTGAGGGGAAACTGTTGGACTGGAAATGGTCATGAAAGTAGGGAGTGTAAATAAAAACCAGGTCACTGAACTCTGAGACCATACAGTACTTAGAGATTTGGGAAATAAGAAAGAAATAGAAAAACAGATCATTAAAGGTCAAGGAGGGATTCCAGAGGTAATAAACTAGAAAGAGAAGGGATATTGGTCTGAGGTTGAAAAGCAGTTCTTAATAATGACAATATCTAGGTAAGATGCAATCATGAAAGTGATCAGTGTATTCATGGTGGAGGACACAATCACTGGCAAAAACAAGGGCAAGTGTCTGAAAGGGCAGTAGATTGGAAAAATCATATGTATTAATTTTGCAGTACAAGAATTATTGACAGTGAGCCAAGAAATCTTCAAGGAATGAGAGATCCTGA
Organism: Homo sapiens; assembly: GCF_000001405.40. NCBI lineage: Eukaryota > Metazoa > Chordata > Mammalia > Primates > Hominidae > Homo > Homo sapiens. The sequence continues at coordinate 154,650,844 of NC_000002.12, read as the reverse complement.
CCACAGATGACTACAGGGGAGTAGAGGAGTTCCAATTTTTATAATGAAAGACTGGGGAATATGGAGTAACTCTCTCATTGAGAAGAGCTAGAATTGCTCAAAATATTTAAAAACAACAACAACAACAAAAACTTCTTTAAAAGCATTAGAGAGCTGCAAAGACAGTAAAGAATTATGAGCTAAGACCACCAGAGGTAAGAAGAAAACCAAAGAGGTAACCCGGAACTTGGGATTGCTTTCCTCAAAGAGATACCATCAATATTTGAAGAAAAAAAAAAATTCTAAGAGGGTAAGGACTTACAATACTACCAAGACTAAGGTTACAAATTTAAGATTAAATGCTACTAAGGATTGGAGGAAGTACTGAAAATCTTCCCAGGCTTTGGATAGGAGGTTTCCAAGTCTATCAGGAACAAGCATCAATCAGAACTATATTGGATCTCACAGAGACAGATGCTCAGCTTTAAATTAGCTCAACCAAATCCCTGATTTGATTAAAATTATCTTGGATTGCAAGTTCCTACAGACCAGATGTCAGGACACTACAGATTTGCCTATAGGTAGATTCTGGCCCTCTACCTATCTTTAAAAATTATGTTTCAGGCTGGACACGGTGGCTCACACCTGTAATCCCAGCACTTTGGGAGGCTGAGGCGGGTGGATTACCTGAGGTCAGGAGTTCAGGACCAGCCTGGCCAACATGCTGAAACCCCTTCTCTACTAAAAAATGCAAAAGCTAGCCAGGCGTAGTGGCTGGCGCCTGTAATCGCAGCTACTCGGGAGGCTGAGACAGCAGAATTGCTTGAACCCAGGAGGCGGAGGTTACAGTGAGCCAAGATCAGGCTATTGCACTCCAGCCTGGGCATCAAGAGCAAAGCTCCATTTAAAAATAAAATAAAATAAATACAATAAACAAATAAATAATGTTTCACTTGATAACAGCCATATTCTTTTTTTTTTAATTTTTAATGTTTATTTTTTCTCTATGGCTGTGTTCTTGGTACAGTTGCAGAAGTGATCACAGGGCCTTCAAAACCTAAAATACTTACTACCTGGGCCTGTACTGAAAATGTTTGCCAGTATCTGCTTTAGACAAGTTTCCTCGCCAGCAAATAACTTTAATCAACTTTAAAGGAAGATAAACATCTTTAAAGGAAGATAACATCATTCACAACCTCAGTTTTTTTTCTTGTATTTTTTTAATATATAATGTTTAACTCTCAATCAAAATTAGCAAAGTACAAAGGAAGACGAAGCAAAGTGATATGGGTTTCCCTCAGAACCAGATCCTGAGAACGGGCATCAAGCACAAATATTTTTGAGAGTACGTACCTGTTCCTAGAAAACTTTCTAGAGTAGTGAAAAGGTAAGAAAGAGAGAAAAAAGAAAACTCATGCCAGATGCATTACTGAACCAATTCTCTCTAAGGATAACTGGAGTTCAATCTCTCTGGGAAACTTAAGGAGACATTTTAAAACATGTCTCAGAGTTATCCCAACCAAGGAATGAGAAAGCTGTTGTATTTGTCCATCAGCTTCCCAAAAATCACTGGATGAGGGCTACTTCTACAGGCATTCCCTCTTCAATGTTTGCAGCTCGCACTGTGCATAAACCAAGCATACTCCAACTGGCAAAACAAAGGGGAAAAGGCTGGGAGGAAGAGATGTTTGAAGAGTGTTTGGATATTTAGAGATAAATGCCTAGGGGATATGGGCAGGATATTAATAGCACTTGTCACAGAAGGAAGACATATAATGGAGTCACCATAACTTTACTTAATGTTCTCAAGGAAATAAAATATAAGATTTAGATGTCTGGAAGAAGCTGAACCATAAAACATAACCAAATGCAAAGTGCATAACCAAAAAAAAAACATTAACTGAAATTAAGATCTCACTCAAAAATACTGGTTTAACAGTGAACTCCAATGGCTGTAAAGAGATTTATTAAACTAAGATACAGAGCAGAAGAAAATACCCATAATGATGCCCAAAGTGACAAAAGGATGAGGAATACCGAAATAATAATAACAATAAAGTATGAGAGTAAGTGAAAATGTCTAACATAAGTGCAATTGAAGTCCCAGAAAGGAGATAAAACGCAATGCTGGAGAAATAGATGAAGTGATAATGCCTAATAATTTTCTCAAACTGGTGAAAAACATGAAGCCACAGACTTAAGAAGCAATACAAACCACAAGCACAATAAATAAAAAGAAAATCACATTAATAGCATAGCAAAATAACTGAACATAAATGCCAAGGGGAGAATCTTAAAAAGAATTGTATGTAGAAAGAGAGACACTGTCTTCAAAGACGCAACCACAAAAGTAACAGCCATGTTGTCAGCAGATAAAATGGAAGCTAGAATATTATAGACTTTCTTCAAAGCACTGAAAGGGAAGAACTTGCAACCTAGAAACTGGTACTCAGAGAATGTAGTTTTCAAAAATGAAGATAAGTTCTGCTTATTGACATGATGGAATAACAGAGCTAGACATAAACAAAAAAGTGAGGAAAATACATAAACAACTATTTTAAAACACCGAGCAACACACAGCACAAAACTGTGATCCTTGCAGGAAGAGACACAAATAAATGAACCTTCTATTTGTTTCAGTTTTTGACCTGGTGGCAATTTCTGCGATGCAGAATAGTCAAACAAAAACAGAAGTAGGCACTCTTGATATTTTGCAGGGACAGAGGTTGGAGCACCAGAGGTGGCCAAAATTTGCAGGGCAGTGTACTAGAAAGGAGATAGCTAGTCAGACACAGAGCTCCAGAAATCTACATTTGGATTTATATTTGTTTTCTATTCTACATAATGAATTACCACAAATATAGTGGCTTACAAGTATGCACATTCATTATCTCACAGCTTTTTTAAAGTAGTAAATGCAGGCCCTGCTTCATGGTGTCACCAGGCTGCAATCAGGGACTACTGGGGCTGTGGCCTCATCCAAAGCTCAACTGGAGAAAGATATGCTTCAGATGGGTCTCAGGTTGTTGGCAGAATTTATTTCCTTGTGGCCATAGAACTGAGCACCCTGGCTTCTTACAGGATGTTGGCTAGAAGTTACTCTCAGGCCCTAGAAGCCACCCATAGTTCCCTGCCTGATGGCCCTCTGGATAAGGAGTTCCCAAAAACAGTTGTTGCCTTCTTTAAGAGCAGTAGGAGAATGAGTCTATTCTCTAGCCTGCTAAGAAAAAGTCTTATGTAGGCCAGGAGCGGTGGCTCACACCTGTGATCCCAGCAATTTGAGAGGCTGAGGCGGGTGGATAATGAGGTCAGGAAATGGAGACCATCCTGGCTAACACGGTGAAACCCCATCTCTACTAAAAATACAAAAAATTAGCCAGGCGTGGTGGTACACACCTGTGGTCCCAGCTACTCGGGAGGCTGAGGCAGGAGAATGGCATGAACCCAGGAGGCGGAGCTTGCAGTGAGCCGAGATTGTGCCACTGCACTGCAGCCTGGGCGACAGAGCGAGACTCCCTCTCAAAAAAAAAAAAAAAAAAAAAAGAAAGAAAAAGTCTTACATAGCATAAGTATTTGTGAGATTGACATTTCATCACCTTTGCCATATTTTATTGGCTAGATTCCAGTCACAAGTCCTGCCCAAGCTCAAGGACAGGGGACAATAAGGGCTTAACAACAAGAAGCAGAGATCATCAGGACCACAGAGTGTTCTATAGTACATGGATGAATATTAATCTTCACACATATAGAGTGAAAGCCTACAAGCCTGAGTAGAAAAGAACTTCAAGAGAAAGAAAAATAATGTAAGTCAAATAATTTCAAGAACTCACATAAGGTCAAGAGTCATTCGAGTTTCCACCAGTCAGAGTGAAGACATCTTGTTGGACACATGGGACATCCAGTAAAGATTTGATTAGAGTCATACCTTGGGACTTAAACCAGCCTTAGACTAAAGGCTACGCTAGAGCCCACTAAAACGCTTGAAAACAAGGGTTGAAAGCATGACATCCATAACAAAGAATCTGACCATAAAGGCCAGGTATGTGTGACTGGACTCAGATCTTTCCAGGGCCTTTCCCTGCCCAGCTTTTTAAAGTTTACTTGAGCAATAATAGTGATATATTGATTTTTGCCTCAATTCATTTACTTCATTTTATATAGTTAACAAGCATCAATTACTGTGAGCTGCTAGAAATTGGTACTTAATATGAAAAGCACACCATTGGGATGAGTGTGCCATCTTAGGAGTGATATGAGCAAGGCTCAAGAAACCACTTAATAAAGGTAAATGATTCTGCCAAGCATGAAGAAAATGAATTGTTTCTGAGCCCCATCTCAACGATGTGAATTAAAAAGGCAGTTACTGTTATAAAAGTATCTTTCCTCTACTATAACCAATTTTCCATGTTCTTTTACCTTCCTTTTCTATTCCTCGTTCCCCATCTCAAACACAAAATTCTATCAGATACTTCTTTAAAGTAAAAGCTTAAAATGAAAGTTGAACAAGTAGAAAAAATATTGGGGAAGATATGTAATGAGACATCATCAGTTGGCAATGCAGTATTAAAGCCATGATGAAATTCTCTGCATGTAAAAATTCAATAATCCTTATAACAGGAAACGTTCAGAACTGAATGTGTACATGACATGATTCCTTGACTAGATTACCTCTGACACAACTAAATGTATATCTTTATGTATTTAAAAACAAAGAACAAACTTTAGAGTTTGTTCATTAAACACCTTTAATGCATATTCCCTTTGACACAGCAATGCCATATCTAGGAAATTACAAACATCTTTATATTCACATGTGTGAAATGACATAAGTGCAATGACATGATGCATTGTTTATGACAATAAAATATTGGAAACAATCTAAATTGGGTAAATAACTTATGTGTATTTATTAATGGAACACAAAGCAGCAATGAAACAAAGTAAATTAGTAAAACAAAGTAAATTAGTAAACAATATGGTAATTTTAGGAGACTTCCACACAACAACCAGACTTCCACACAACAACCCAACGTGTTGTTATTATTTCCATTACACTGGGGAGAAAACTGAGGCATATAGAAACTAAGCAACATTTCCAGAGAGGTTATACTACTGGTAACAGTTGGAATGGAATTTTAGCCTAGGCTGTCTTTGAAAATACCTTTGCCACCTAGGATGAACACACATGCCAGTTTGTCTGTAGTAATTGTTAATAACACTTCCATTCATGATCAGATGTGTCCTGGTTTACATGATAATTTTAGGCAATCTTATATACAGCATATACTTGGAATCTATTCCTAGGAGACGAGAAATGACAGAAAAAGTAATTCTGCAAGTATATAGTATTGGCTTTTATTTCAGTAATTGTAATCATTCTCATTACTATCTTTCTACCGTACTAAAATGATATTTTCATTTTCCACCATAACTCTTCAATAACCAATTATTCTAATCTTCCAGATAACATTTTAGATTTTCCAAATCCTCCAAGGTTGGTGGCTTTGGCTAGTAATAATTACCTCATGTGTGTTTAAAATCAAGCTCCAAGTATTAATGTGTCTCTTCCCTTCTGTTCTCTAACAGCTATAGTGAATTTCATATCGTGGAAACCTTTAAAAATTTGCAACTTGCACAGAGCATGAAGCAAAGCTAAATGCATTCATTTGACTTTTAGAGACTATTCTGACTTTATAGTTGTTTTCTTTTAATATGTGCATTATGATTTTTTAAATGTATCTTATGTTTCCATATTATAATATTGAACAGATATCAATAATATCAATAATATAACTACATGCTTGTTATCACATGACTGTAAACATTTGCTAAATAATTTTAAGACTTCCAATCGTGAGATATTGGACCATTCAAAGACTAAATCTGGATGGTTTTAAAACATCGAATAAAGAGTAAAGCATATATAAAAATTAGAGATTACATTGTAAAGCTGAAGTTGAGTCAAAGACATCTTCTCTTATGGTTTTGACACAACAATCCCTGTGTTTATCTACTATATCAAAACACCGATGTAAAAATATAGTGTATCATTCAGTTCTATGAAATTAGCAATTTTGAGGGGTTGCCATTAATCAAGTCTTCCTTATAAATTATGGTAAAGTGTACATACTTTTTTTGCATTTTAATAACAAATTTGATTCTCCTAGTCATCTTTGTATTGCTAACTTCTAACTGTCTTTCATCTACTTTATGTCTGTGGGTGATAAACTAATTAATGATCTATGTTATATAAAATTACGCAGTTTTTTTACTTGCTACTTTTATAATTCACTTTTGCAATGCATTTTTGGATTAGGACTGCTTATTGAGAAAGGTCATTTTCAAGACTTCCTAGGTATATCAACATATGATAACAAAAGTGCTAATTTCTCATAGCATCTCAAAAATTATTACTTTTTACAGTTTCCCAATTTCCTTTATTCTTGCTATATGTAACGTATTTACAATTAGAATAAGCTAATTTATTTTATTACCTACCTTCAATATTCAAGAAATTATTCACCCTGTCTGCCAAATCAGAAAGATAAATATTTGTTCAATATCTTCTCACAGTGGTCAAGAAATATAACAATTTTCACTTTTATTCTACTGTAATAAGACATAATCACCTCTAATTATGATGAGTAATATATCTGAAAATAAAAATATGTATATACAATTGCATGCAATAAGTACTTAGAGAGTTGCCACTCAGATCCTGAGATAGCAAACCGCAAGACTTTATGAGAGGAATAAATTAATAACCTTAATGTTCTACCACTTCTTTCTCAAAGCTTTAGAGAGAGTAAAAAACACACAGGGTGGATTCTATTACAATATAAAAGACAATGTGTAATAAAAGGGATATAGGAAGGAATATAGGATTAGGCCACAAAAATTGATGTGTGCCCCGTGCAATGAAGACCAAATATTGAACATGTATAACAATACCTGTGTTAGTTCTTTTCAAATTGTTTTTTACTCCATGCTTATATATGACCAACTTACTGAGTAATACGTGTTTTAAAGCATTTGATTCTTTTTGAACCATCCTGTATATAAGGTGGACCAGGGAGAAGAAAATTATTAAAAAGAGTAGTTTCCGACATTTACCTGGCTTAAAAGACAAAACATAAATCAAGCACAATCAATAGTATGAACAATGTCCCTATTTGATATAAACATAATTTCTCTAAAATGTTTCACAAATATTGGCCTCCTGACAGCCTCAGAATCCCAGAAGAACCAAAGTTATTGCAGTCTGAGGTCCTGTCAAGCCAGAGGCAATATAGATTCATCTGTAACCAAGTTAGTGACATAAATTCAGATTTGCTAAGGTGGTTTGGAAAATGTATCTTTTTCTTTATAGATGGCGTCTAGAGTTTTTAACTTGCTTTGTTTTTTTTAACATTTGCTAGCTGCTAGATATGAATAGTCGTGATTCTTCAATAGTACTAGCTAGGCTGAATTTTGTGTTAGCTCTAAAAATTGCATAATTATTCCGCTTTCAACTACATAAAGTAAAATTAACTAATAGATTGAGTCCAAGTAATATACAAATTTCTCCTCAAAGTTATTTTTATGTATTTCCTGCCTTTGACTTAAAAATCAATTCAATTCTATGCAAAAAATAAATAAAATATTAAGCCACTAGTATATGTCAGATAATATGTATTCTTTAAAATCAGTGATATAGACACATTTTTGGATCATAGAACTCTGAAAATTTATTTATGGCTACAGAGGCAGTGGGGTTGACAATGACATGTGCTTTCTCTTAGCGTTCATCTGTGATGCAGAGTAGTTTATTTGTTGTCAGATATCTCAGGTACAGAGAAGAGCCTAGGCTTAGCCTTAGAATTGCCCACTGAGATAACATGGGTACTTAGAAGGGGCCTGAAGGGTAATGAATATCCAACATAGCAGGTGAGCTGTTTGGAAGCCTCCACTCACTATTCAGACCTGGGGCAAATTGAAATACTATCTTTCTGTCAATGATGGATCACCTATGCAGTGGTACTATAAGATTATAATATTGTATTTTTACTGTACATTTTCTATGTTTAGATACACAAATACTTACCATTATGTTACAATTGCTATATAGTACAGAAACATGCTGTACAGATCTGTAGCTTAGGAGCAAGATACTTTACCATATAGCCTAGGTATGTAGTAGGCTACACCATCTTGGTTTGTGTAAGTACACTTTATGGTGTTCACACAACAAAATTGCCTAAAGACATTTCTCAGAATGTATCTCTGTTGCTAAGCAACACATGACTGTGGTGGGAATCAGGATTCAAGTTCCTAGGGAGAGGGCCAGAAGAAGTCTAGTTCTTAAAGGAGTTTGAGGAACACTAGAAGTTTTTGAAACAGAATCTCAAAATAAGGTCTGAACCATGGACTAGAGGATATAGAAAAATTCAGGCTGGGAACATGAAGGAGGGACAAGGATGCCAGAGGAGCCTATCTTGGCCCCTCCTTCATGTTCCCAGCCTGAATTTGCAACTCAGGTAACAATAGAGGACTCAGTGGATAGCATTAGTATATTAAGTTACAAGTCAGAATTACATGAAAAAAAAAAAAATTCCTTACTATGGGATTGAAAAAGGGCTCATCTTACTTGAAGTAAGGAAGTTAAGAGGCTGAGAAAAAGTTCGTGTGCTAAAAGGTTTGATTTGGGAACTGGCGTGGTTTTTAACCTGTTGGTGAGGTTATTGGTAAACTCCTCTATAGGGGAGGATAGAGGCTGGTGGCTGGCAATTAGTCAGTGTTGGTGCAACTGGTGACTGAGTGTCGGTCAATTAGTCAGTGTTGGTGCAACTGGTGACTTAGCAACTGGTGACTGAGTGCATTATCAAAACTCATCTTCCCTAGATCTTTGCAATCATACATACATACATATTTATGTTCTTTACACGAAAGTTCTCTCCAAGTCCTTGAGCCAATCCAAGCTCAGACTGGAACTTCCACCCCTCAGCAGGCGGGTTTGACGTTAGTCTTATCTGGCCTCAAATATGGGGCTAAACCCTGGAAATCTCTCTGCGGGTCACACAGTGTCCTTCCCTTAACCTCAGCCATGTTGGCTGCTGCTCCTTTTGTCAGCTGGGGTTCTGCCCAAACCATCTTAAACTTCAACCCATTTGTTGGGGTACCCAATAACTCACATAGTTTTTAAACCCCTGTTTCATTTGTTGGTGGTGATTCGTGGTGGAACATGATGACAGGAATGTCAGAAATAAGAATAGACCCTAATTCTTTGATCTGGACTGAGTTCGAATCTTGATTTTATCATATGCTGGCGATATGGTCCTATGGAAAGTTGAGTACCTGTTGCATCATAGTGTTAAAAGGATTAACTATGATAACCCATGTAAAGAACTTTGCAAAATATCTAGGACTGAGACAGCACTTAACAAATGTGAGATATTATCTACAAATAGTGCTTGAGGTCTTGCTCTCAGAAAACGAATGTGGTGTCATGGTGTTATTGTCCCACATACAGTCCTGTTTCCTTTCTGCCCTAAAAATTTTTTAATCCCTTAAAAAATTCCTATATAGAGTGCACACCAACACGACTGCACTTTAGTAATTGTTGGTAAGCATAAAATGCACATTCTATTACAATACCAATATGGTAGAGACTGTTGATTGCTTATCTAGAAACCACTGCCTTTATTACTCCTTTCTAATATAATCAACATTTTATCTAGGAATCTACCCCTCCCAGTTCATCCGTCCTATGTGACTCAAGAAAAGTTCACAGCATTTTCACCTCTACTGTACGTTATTTTCAGTAGGTCCTAATTATTCCCAATTACGTTAATCCTCTACTACCTGTCAATGAGCTGAAATGGCCTTTCCCTAGTGATTGTTATTTGACCAAGGATGACTGGATGGTTTAATTGGTCCTATCCATCCGAAGGGAAGATTTTATTTTCATGGCTATGGGAGTGTTTCTGTGTCTCTCTCTTCTCATGCATACAATCCCAATTGCTTCTGGCAGCCATTTTATACTGATAAGGGAAGCCAGGCTAGGAAAGAGTTTAAAGTTGAAAAATCATTGTGACAAAAATTGGGAAGTTTAGGTAAGGACATTCTCCCATTATAGATAATTAATTCCTCTCCTGATTAAGCCAGGTTAAATCAGTATTTTTGTTCATTGTATACAAAAGCACGTCATTTAAGAAAACCATTCTCTGCATTTCTTTCTAATCATATGATTAGATCGGATCATTCTGTTCACGGTCATTATTTTGCTCTTGATCTAAGTACCTCCTCGGTTGATGTCATATCTTCCCCCCACTCTAATGACCCTCTTTGTGTTGACATATCCATGTCAGACGTCACTACTGAGCACCAAATTCTTATTTCCAAATGCCATGTCCTCCTGAATCAACAGCTTCTCAAAATTAGCAGTCCAATATTGAAATTCTCATCTATGTTAGTATTATCTCTTTGTCCACCTATATTCTCATTTCTTGTCATTCACCCAGCTTCAAACTTGAAAGTTTAATTCTCCACTTTCATTTCCAGCGTTATCCAATCAGTGATGCATAATTGTCTTTTATACTTCCAAAAATATTTCTGAATTTATTTCCTCTCTGCCTTGTATTATGTAACTGTATATGCCAAGATCTTTGTCATCAATCACATGGAGTGTTGCAATCACCTGTTGTTTGAACACACAGCCGTGATTTTTTCCCCTTCTGTCTATCCTTCAGACACAATTGCCATAGTAATCTTTCTAAATCAAAACGTTATTCACTCTTTTTGCCTACAGGATAATCATATTGCTCAGTATGTCTTCCACAGCTGTTCATAACCAGAACCCATTCCACCTCTCTAAGCTGATTTTCTTCTACTACTCTTCTTTCACACGTTTCTAGATTCTGACCACTTTGAATGTCTCACTGTTGTCACAAGCATGCCATGTTTCCTCTTGACTCCATGCAGTTAGGTATGTTTCTTCCTCAGTTTTAGTTGTTCTGGAAAACAGCTCCATTCTTTAGCCTAGAAAATAATTACTTATTTTCAACACCTAGCTCAGTAGCTTCTCTGAAAACCTCTCCTCAGCAACAATTTCACCTCCCAGGCAGAATTCATCTCTCTTTGTCTTGCATTCAAATCACATGTTCTGCATCATATTATAATTTAGGTTTGTGACTCTAGATCTCTTCTTAAATCATGAATGCTCTGAAAAAGGATGCATTATTCACCCATGCATCTCTCACACCAGATAACATAATAGTGTTTTAATAAAAGTTTGTGAAAGAAAAGAGTTACAGAATCTCTCAGGGCACTACCCAGAGGGAGACCCACACTTTCTCAGGAAAGACTTAGATTTTGTATTGATTTTAGTTTGTGGACTACACTGGTACTTTATCATCACTCTGTAACACTTGGCAATCCTACCTCACCCTCCAGGTTATCCTCAAGGACAAATAACTTGGAAACTCCTCTTCCAGCCAAAAGCTCAAAAAGTGCATAGCTATCTCCTAGATCTAAAGGGAAAAATAAAGATAAGCATGAACTCTAAAAAATAAACTATCACATCCTAAGGCTGTTAGAGGTGAAAATACGTGATATGCATATCTACGAAATGCAGTGAGGGTTAAAATAAAATCAATAAAAACATAAATGGATAAAATGCCTTTTATGTCTCTCCACTACAGCTGTATTGGGATATCTTTTTCCCAGAATAAAATCATTTTACAATAATGGGGGCTGTTTTGCCAGAGCAGAGTAGAGAAGGCAGAGCCAAACTTATCTTGACCCAAACACAGATCACCTCTCAGGAGCCTTCATAAAGAACAGTTACCATATGTGCTATAACACTTTGTGGGACACGGTGATATTCTGCTTCCAAGCTTCCTAACAGAGATGATGGTTTGCAGCCAAATATTACTTGCTGTACTTCTAAGTAGCTCTGTAATGGTGCTAAATTCTTTTAAAGTGTTGCTTTGCCCTTTCTTGCATGAAGGTCTTGGCACAAGGATCAGGAGCCTTTTTATGGTTTATGAGAATATAATTTGTGAGTTCCATGTAGGCCTGGCACATTTATGAAAATGATGAAATTAGCCTGATGGAAATGAAACCCAAATTGTTATCATGAGACAGTTCTGAATAAAACACACGTTCCCTCATGAATATATGTTAGAATACCGCTGTAAAACTCCATAGCCTATATGAGGCATATGTATATATTGTATCCAAATTCTAAACATTTTTAGTAAGAAAAATAATTGGGAAAATCTAGGCTAGATTTTTTCTGCATTCATAATGATAATAATAGTAATAATAACTTATTAAATGCTTCCTATGTGTCCAGTACTGTATTATTTTAAGCACTTTGAATGTTTAATGTTTGAATGTTGAATTTCATAAGAATCTTCAGAAATAAAACACTGCTACTATAGACATTTTAGAGAAAGGGAATTATGGAATATGTAAACAACTTGTGCAATGGCACACAGATAGTGTGTGACAGAACTAGTGATAGAATTCAGTCCAGCTTCACAGCCTACAGATTTGACCACTATGCAAATTGCCTCTTCTTTACTATTGTCCAAGGAGAACTGTTGACATTCTGAAAAAGGTGAAAAAATTCATTGCCCATTGCTGAGGTCAACACATGGTCTCCAATGATGAAACGTATTTTAGCCTTTACTCATACCATTTGCACTTGTGCATAATCATCTTAAACATTCAGAAACTATCTACCTGTAAATTATCTTTACCTACTTTCTATTAATTTAACATTATCTGGTCATTGAATTGTATATACTCGAAATGAATTTTAAAAATACACAAGAGCAAACAAAGACCTGAATGTTTAAAACAGTGAAATTTTGCACTTCCTAAAAAAAAATATGAGTAAGTTATTAAAGGTTATTTTGAAGTCCAACAGAAATCCAACTTAATCAGTAAGTCACGGTCAGGTCGACAATATTTCATGATACAAATGAAACTGCAATGAGTAGTTCCCAGAGAAGGCAGAAGTAGGTTATACAGTCACCCAAAAGGGAGCCTGGAATAGCTTTATATGTGATTGAATCATCTAATTAAAAGTATAATTAATGCTTTTTAATAATCAGTTTGCCCCTATTTATATGAGCTTTGAAAAGGTTACTCTGAGGAGTAAGCAGAAAATTTCAGCTTAGGGGGTATGAATTAAAACACTATGCTTTCACTGCTAGAATATCTCCATATCAAGTGAAGGGATCCTTGCCAACTCACCATGAGATGGAATGCTATCCAGTTTTCAAATTCCTACAGGAGCTAAGAAGTAAAATATGTTCAGAAGGCAGAATGAAATCAACCTCTTAGCAAAAAAAAATTAATCTTTCATTGGCAAATAAAAATCACATATCCTCATCCAATCTCAAAAGCTAAATAGTAAAAATCCCAGGAGCTTAAGATAGAAAACATTTCATTAAAGTTTGAAAATCCCATTTCTCAGTAAAAACAAGTTCAGAAATCCAACACTTGATGCTTTCATAATTTATCAAGTCCAACTTCCACCTTCAGTTAACATATTAGGTAGGGAAAAGCTCTTTATGTGAGTCATGCTGAGGAAGAGAATGAAACATTCATACAATAGAAAGCTCGATACAAAAGAAGAGAGGCTAGAAATGGAATCTCCTCACCAACACTGCAAGCAAAAGGAGAAGGCACTGTACTACAGAAACTTAAGTAGGCCCAAAAATTATGGGAAATAGAGACACATTTTAGAACTGTTTAATATGCTATAATCTCTCCCCTTTGATTTGGCTAAACCACCAAAGGAGACAATCTGGACTTTTTTAGGAGAAAAGAAAAGGAAAAGAAATACACACACACACACAGAAACTATATATGTGTGCGTGTGTATATATATGCCTATATATATATAACATGCCTATATATTAATATATGCTATATAAGTATACATAAGTATATATACTTATATAATATATATAGGCAATCTGGACATTTTCAGAAGAAAAGGAAAAGAAATATACACATTATATATATGTGGCATATATAGCATATATATAATAGGCATGTATATATAATGTGTGTATTTCTTTTCCTTTTTATACATAAGACATATAATAACATGTATAAAATATAGTATATAGTACTATATACTTATATATACTATATAAGTCATATGTATATACTTATATGTATATGCCATATATATTATGTGTATTTCTTTTTTTTATACATATTACTTATATTGTAATATGTATAAAATATAGTACTACATACTTACATATACTACATACTACATATAGTACTACATACTTACATATACTATATAAGTAATATGTATAAATTTTACATATGTGCACATATAGTCCACAAAGTTTTAACTGGTATTTTAAAAGTCATATAAACAATGCCAAATTGTTCACAATGGCTTTCAGGTTTTGTAGTACCCATCACCATAAATACGAGATTCAAGGTTAAATTGGCTTTGTATGCTGCGACAGCTCAGGAGGACAGGAGCCAAATGTGATGTGGCAAATAGTTCTGTGCCTGAATATTTTACAGACTGGCATATTTTGTTATCTATTTTTTTGAGAGTGTTGTTCACCTACGGTCTTTATATGAACTTTGTAACACACTACCTGCTCTGTGGTTGAGAGAGCCTTGGAATTAGAAATCACGGACATAAGCTCTGCTTTGCCACGTTCTATCATTTACCAACAGGGTACTTTTACTTTTAAATGGCGAAAATAGAACAAAAATAACATATTTGTGGTGATAGTTAAGTGAGATTGCATATGTGAAACCAACTTGTAAAGTATAAAATGCTATGCAAAGAAATAAGAATAAAACTACTTTTTGCTTACCATTTGTCAGTTGTAAGTTATAATACATCACTACCTGGGTCTAAAACATGGGCTTTTTAACAATGAATTTATAATCAGAAAAAAACAAATCAACTGTACATATGGTGTAATTTTGTACAGAAATATAGGACTCCCTAGTTAATATGGTAGCAAGATTTTCCAGTTGTCATACTTGTCCTCTACACTTCCTTTAAAATGCCTGTGAATATATCCAAAAAGCCAAAACCAAATAGTAGCACTGGAATGAAAGATCAAATTAAAATCTTATAACAACAGGCAGAAGGAAGTTCACTAACTTTATTATTGTTGATAATGTATTGAGAAGCAGAGGCTTGAGTTATGCATCAAGTAACCCATCTTTGGGAAACAAAAAAACAACAATAAAAAATCATACCCCAGAGGTTCTCAGAGTGTGCACTCAGAATCACAGGACCACCAGCAGCAACATCTCCTAGGAACTTGTTAGAAATGCAAATTCACCAGCCCACTTCCAACCCTCTGAATTAGTAACTGTTGGTGGGGCCCAGCCACCTGGGGTGGGTAGTGGTCTAACAAGTGCTCCAGGTGGTCCTTATGCCTGCAGACATTTGAGAATCACTGTCACAGACGAACAAACAGAAGACGGGAAAAATATTTTGATTAGTGCCCACCTCATGAACAAACTTCAAAAGAAAAATTTGCAGTGGTCCCAAACAGATAAGTATTATTATTCCCACTTTCAGGTGAGAAAATTAAGAAATTCGACCCAACCCAGCACAATTAGGAAGAGCCAGAGGTCATGTTTTAGTTATTTTACCTTGAAGACCATCTCTTTCTTAACCACGATTTTATAATGTTTTCTTAGTGTTATAGCTAGCAGTTTTAAAAGTACTTACATGAAGTAAATAGGGGAAAAAAGGAAGATTTCTGCATGATGCTCTCAAAACCATTGTAAAGCACATAGTCTAGATAATGGTAAGATGAAAACTAAATTAAATGGGATCAGGGAGACTAAAAGAATGAGTGATGAAATAAGAGTATAGGAAATCCCAAAAGACAGTGACAGAATCAAATTTATCTAATAACAGTAGAATAAAAGTACACAAACTGTTTTGGAGAGAAAACAGAAAAGAATATGAAAGTAAAGGACATGTTGAAACTACGACAGAGAAGACAAAAGATACAGAGTTCTGAGATCTAAGACCTAAACAAGAATGACGCTTGCAAGTAAGAAATCTAAAGACAGAAAGAGAAGCAACAATATGTGACATAATATGGAAAAAAAATATATACAAATCAAGAGGAATCACAGAATTCCACACAAAACTAATGATAAAAGACCAATCTACAGCCGGATATATGATGATAATTTTATATGATTCTAATTTCAAAAATCCACAAAGTATTCAGGTTCAAGATACATGTTACAATGAAAAGAAATGAAAATCACAAAATGGGAACAGAACCTATTTATTCAGAGCATCCTACAGCAAGAGAGCCAGCCTTTGCCAGAGACTCAAACCAAAGGCAGTCAGGGAAGGGAAAACACAAAAAAGTTTTTGTTTTTATATTTGCACATCTTTTTAGTTTGTCATTTTATTATTTTAAGTTTTACATTTCACTCAATCTCACTATAAATTTCCAATTGATAGAATATTATGCTGCCTTTTTTCATTGTTTTGAACAATGTTAAAAACCATAAGAAATTGTTAATGTTACACTGTTAGATGAAAATAAGTAAAACACAAAGATATTATGTAGCTTTAATCTGTGTAAAGATTTGTAAAGATAGATGTATGTATACATACAATCCTTTGATGATTAAAATTAATGTCTTTTCATAAAGTATATATTCACATATTATTTATAATATATACAGATCTATTAAAATGTATACATAATTTTGATATATTAAAACATATATCTTGTTATATTAAAGTATATATATCATTCAGTGTAACGCTATGAGGATCAAAAACATAATTCAATTTATGGAATTCATATTTATAAATATACAAAATAAACAGCTTAAATGATAACTAAAACAAATTGAGGTATAGTTTTCAGTTTGTGATTGATAATACGAACACATTGTGAAATAAGCATTCTCTCAAATGTTGGTATAATCATAAATCAGAATATTTCTGGAAAGCAATTTGCCAAATAACACAGACTTTTAGAATAAGATCATACACCTTATTCTACACATATATCTAGAACATAATCAGAAATTTGTGCATAAATATGTTTATGAAAATATGCACTGAAGTTTTGTTTGTAAGAGCAAAGTTGGAAGCAATCTAAATAGAATTTCCAGTTGATGGAATATCATGCTGCCACTTCTTCAAGTTGTAAACAATTATGAGATCATGAGGAATTACTAATCTTATTACTCAGTTACATGAAAATAAGTAGGATATTAAGTCATAAATATAGCACAGTGTAGACTGGAGAAAGGGGGAGAGAGAGCAAGAAACATATATACACAAAGAATTCTAACTGCTCCTTTGTATGCTTTTCCAAATTTCCCAATTTTATTTAATAAAATTAGTTTCAAAATAGAAAAAAAATGCCGATAGTAGTTTAAATATATATTTATATGGAAATAATATCACATATGGAGAAAATAGAATAGAAATGCAAGAAATGATAACATATTCTTTGAAGCTATAGAATTATGTTTTTTCCTAAGTGGGAAAGTGTTTTTAATTTTAATTTGAATGTTTTTCAATCCAATGACAGACATTCCCACTTTTGAAAATAAATTCTGGAAACAGCTTTTGAAATTAATATGATTAATGCCCTTAATCACTATTCTCTCACAAAACCAAAATAGCTAGTGCATCTGATTTTTTGGAGTTGAATATTTCATGATGTTTAACTTATCCTTTTTTATTTGATGATGGTATATTTATACCTGACTCTTTTATTATTATTAATTTAATCAAGAGATTCAGCTCTAGATAGAGTTATATGAAACTCAGACTTAAATGTTGATGGGAGGAGATGTAGACAACGTTTGAGGATTAATCTCCAGACATTTCAGAAATAATTTTAAACCATACTTGCTCCAAGAAAAGCAATGACACATATTTTTATCCTTACCCAGGCTTTTACTTTTGCCAGAAATTTCCCTTCTGAAACTTTGTCTTCTTTTGTGCAGTGTACTATGAAATCCCTTCAAAAATTGTCATCTGTTCAACTACTTAATAAGAATGAACGTGTAGATTAAGGCTAATTATAAATTGAAATAAAAAGAAATGCCGCTTAAATGAATGAAGACATCTTGAAGTATAAAATATAACATTAGACATAACTCACAAAGTGAAAATAAATGACATTAGATCTGTCCACATTGAGAAAACCTGAAGAACTATTTGTCAAGACTTTTAAGATCTTGTTATACTGTTACTTAGGTAAAATATCTGATATTAAATGTTTAAAAAATTATGGACATTTAAATATGTGGTTTTGCTTTTCTGATATTGTTACTGGTAATTTTAGAATGTCTCCTTGGATATTTTCCCTCAAAATAGAATTCCTTGACCTGGAAAAGTGAAATATTATAAATTATCTTTATTATTTTTCAGGACTACATAGGTAATTCTATTTAGAAAAAAACTATTAAAATTCATTTTTCATATATTCCAAGTTTTGAAAAGTCATAAGCAAATAAAAGAACCAGACAAAATATACATAGGTTTTCAAAATTTTCTCTTTCCTTCATTGTATGCCCAATATACTCAAGTTTTTAAATCAATATAACATCTTAAGGACATCTGCCCTTCCATCCATATACAAACCCCTTCATTTATCCATCCATACATTCTAATATTAAGTGTATGCTTTCTGCCATGTATTATGCTAGCTTTTAGGTGTATTGGTGGAGCTGAGATGAGATGTGGTATAATTTCACTAGGCCATGCTGAATGTGTGGCACTTACTGATGGTCCTTGTGTAGAAGGAATAACTCCTTTGTCTTTCCAGAATAAATTTGTGTGCTGACAACAAGACTCTGCTGCTGATTTGAACAGCCTTTTGACGATTTGACCATGACAGTTGGGTGGGAATTGTTGAAAAGGTCTAGAGGATTACAAATGTACATTTTGTCCACCTAATTATCATATCCAAGTTAAAAACCCTTACTCTTTCTATAGTATTCACACTGTCAATTGCGATATTGTTTCTGTTTTTATCCTTAGCCTTCCCTTCATAATAACAGATTGTTTCATATAAAAAAATTAGCAGAAGAACCCACTGATGCTGTTACAGGAAGGAAAACAAACACATATTGATTAGTGGTGAAAGTATAAAATTGTACTACCTTTCAAATGGGCAGTTTCAGAAGATAAATGAATTGCTTAATTAGAAGTATCCTTTGACCCAGTGATGAAAACCACTTCTAAAAATGTATCCTAAGATTGTCTTCTCAAACTTGACTTTCCTGTGTCATCTACAAGACAGTGAGATGGCATACCAAAATATATTCAAATTATCAGCGTCTTGATTTGATACAGGAGAATTTAGTTCTTGACATCAAAAAAGTAGCATTTCTATAAGCATAGATTGACAAATGTGGAACTTTCATATTAATGAACCTGCAAAATGCAGTCAATGTGAATTGGGCTAATGGCTACTCTCCACTCCTTTGCACAATTACTCTGGATTGTGTGATTTCTTAGTGAGTCCTAAGAGTTTACTAAAACTCATATTTTTATATGTCCCTGTCATTTAAAATTTTTCTCTGTGTTTTGATTCACACCCCCCGGCGCCAAGAATCATATATTCAAGTAAACCAAATCAACCCCTTGTGAATGTTGCAATTAGTTACAGTTTTTATTTTTTGATTTTATTTTTTTAGAGACACAGTCTAGCTCTGTTGTCTGTGCTGGAGTGCAGTGGCATTGATACCTCATGGCGGCCTAAAACTCCTAGACTCAAGTCATCCTCAGGCCTCGGCTCCTGAGTAGCTGAGACTTTAGATGTGTACCACCACACCTGGCTTTTTTCTTTTTTTTCTTCTTCTTTTTTTAGATAGGGTCTTGCCATGTTGCATTGGCTGTTCTTTATCTCCTCACCACATCCCACCTTGGCCTTCCAAAAGTGCTGGTATTACAGGCCTGAGCCACTGCACCCAGCCTAGTTACACTTTATCTTTGAGTTACTTATTAACGGCAAAGATTAAAACATGTGAGGCTAGTAATTTTAATATCAATTTTTATACGCACTTTAAAAGTATAATTTAATTGAGAACGTAGATTTGTGGTTAAAAATAGAAATTGGATATATAACTTTAAACTCTGACGGAAAAGATAGGTAGGAAAATGCAGTACATAAAATCATAAATCTTGTTTGTCATTGTCTTGACCTGAGGCTTCTAGATAATGAACTTGACACTAAAGAACTGTGGAGTGATAGTTTTCATCCAAACCTTTATGTATCGGAATCCACCTCATAATTTTTCATCAAATATATGTTGCATCAAAGGTTTTTTTTTGTTTATTAATTGTGCTCAATAGAATTAAACACAATAAAAAATATGCTTTTTCTTTGGGGTAAAAAGTCTTGAATATTTATTTTAAAGTAATATTTAATTAAATGGAGATAAATTTAAGAATAATTTCTCCTAGGAAGCTATATGCTGACATAATGTGAAAGAATGTTCTGATAAAAATTTTAAATTATGTGTTGTATTGATTTTTTTTATGAAAGAAAGAAAAGAACACTTAAAAAAAGAGAGAAAACATCCAGTTAAGATCAACAAAAATTTTGCCAACCTTAATAATAAATTATAAGTATTGAATTAACTTATTTCATAAATTTTAAATTTTGTTAAAATTGTGCATATTAAAAGTGACAAATGAGGGCTGTTTTTACTACACATGACAAAACACAATGAAAGCAAGTTTGATTCATAAGTGATAAGCCTTGCTGATGGATATCATGAATTATTAGTGAATTTTGGCTTATTTGCATAGGAAAAAAGAAAGAGAGAGGGCTTTGGATTTTGAAATAGATTGACAAGTAGTTGAGATATTCTTTTAATCCACCACAATACTCAAGTGTCTTCACATCTAACCAAGATGAGACCCATCAATATTCTCAAAGAGTACATTGAAAAGACCGTACTTTGTCCTTTGGCAGCAATCTGCCATTTCCTTTCATGAATTATTATAAAAGAAGAATAAAGTAATGAAAATGTTATTGTGATTTGTACATACATATATGTGTGAGTTTAGTTTCTTGAAATATCGTAACACAAAGAAGAATACAAAAGTTAGCAGGATGTTGGATCTTATAGGCCATGTAATTTGATTCCATTTTCAAAAATTTATAGACTCAGTGCAATAATATCTTACTAATTACACAGTGAAGCAGCAAGGCAATTATTAGTATTTTTTGTAAACACTTTCAAA
Organism: Homo sapiens; assembly: GCF_000001405.40. NCBI lineage: Eukaryota > Metazoa > Chordata > Mammalia > Primates > Hominidae > Homo > Homo sapiens. Next base: position 154,629,624 of record NC_000002.12, on the reverse strand, counting down.
TGTATTGTCAGAACACACAGATTATAAATTGTATTTCAAATTTACCTGCTTTTATTTAAAGAAAATATTACCTATGTATGCACATATAGCATACATATAATATAAATATAGTATAGGTATATTATGTATGTGTGTATAAAATCCTCCATTATTATAAGAGCCACTTCAGGTGTGGCTAGCATTCTTCTATTCTCCCCTGCCTTAGGGATACACCAAATGAACAACTTGTAGAACACTGCTCTTTGAAATGATCAAAGTAGTACATAAATATATAGTTTTCTGAATGATTATGTAATTGTTTTAATAAAAAAATCAAAACACAAAGCAAACAAAACAGGTAAAAAATAGTAAGAGTATTCAATTCCTATGATTAACTTCTATAGAGTTTACAAAAATCGATGCAGATTTTTGTGAGAACATGTACATATTGACAATCTACTGAATTTGCAGGTGAATACAACAGGTTATAAATGGTATGTACTGTATAATTCTATTTTTATAAAGCTCTCTTTTACAGGGATGGATGATTGTATCCTATGTTGAGACTTGTCATCTGTAATGCAGTACACATTACCAGCTTACCAATAGGTGGTTCTTCTCTACTTCTACAGTGGACTTAATAGTTAATGCCTGATGGTGAATGAAATGGACACAATTCCTTCTTCAGAGAGCTTCTCATCTAATGGAAGTAATATATTTATGAATTATAAAATATTTAGCACTTTGATGAGTTCTGGCAGATTAAGATATCATATAAAATAAGCAGAGTGTGTAATAGCATCTTGGTCTAGTACAGAGTCTCAATAGTCTCCCCTAGCTAAGTGTTTCCGGGGTGGACAGCAGAAACTAAGTAGAAGTTGACTAGTAAAAGTAGAATGGGATGAGCTAATAAGATGTTGACAGAGAAGAGAATAGCAAAAGACTTGAGACATATGAAAATATTGCATGTTTGAAGAACTGAAAGACATCCAATATGGAAAATTGAAGGAAAAAAGATGAGTAAATGTACCAAGATGGAAGTGGAGAAACAGATAGGAGTAGGAATAGATTAATTAGGGTCTAGCATGACCAGTTAACATAGCTGTTTTTTTTATTCCCAATGCAGTGTTTCAAGCAGGAAATGACATGAGCAATTGGAATTTTAAACGATATCTCTAAGTACCATTTAAGAGGAGATTGGAATAGAGTAAGAGATTCAAGGAGACCCCCTTAGGCGGCTACTGCAATTTTCCAAGCAATATATGATTATGGATTGGACTGTTATGGAGAAATGGATATGGACCATATGTAAGACATTGAAGAATAAACTCAAACAAGAGTCAATAACATATTAAAGATGAGAAAGAGAGGACTGTTTCAAGAAATACTCTTTTTCTGACTGATAAGGCAATATGAATGGTGGGGATAATCAGTGAAAGAAGGAGTAATGGAAGAGCATTGAGAGTCAAACTGAAAGGTAGTCATGAGTTTTAGATGAATTTATTCTCAGAATAAGGCAATTAAAGCCCAGAAGCAGTTGTGCAAAAACAATTCAATTGAATCCCTCACTTTGCAGGTGAAGAGGTGAGGGCCAGAGATTATAAAAGTGTGACTTTTTAAGCCTTATATAAAATATGAATACATATGTACATACATTTGCAAAAACCTAGTACCATGTTGCCAAATTGTCCACTTTAGAATGAATATGTGCCTATAATCCGTTATTCTGAAATATTTGAAAATTCATGGTCAAAGAAACAACTTATGATTTTTATATAATTTCCTAGAAAAAGTATAATGGGAAAACAAACATCACAACCCCAAATTTAATAATTATTGAAAAATGGATGAAGGAGAAATAAAAAATTTAAATTACAGAATTATAAATCTCATTTTCCCACTAGCTATACATTGCCAGCACATAGGACAATACTGTTTAGATGGCCAACACATAAAGAATGTTACAATGGAAGATATTTTTGAACAGCAAGCACTAAATTTATATTTTCTAAAATCGAAATTGAGGCAGGCATGGTGGCTCAGGCCTATAATTCCAGCATTTTGAAAGACCAACGTTGGAAGGCCATTTGAGGCCAGGAGCTTGAGACCAGCCCACGCAACATAGCGAGGTCCCATCTCTACAAAAAATTTAAAATATTAGCCAGGCGTGTTAGTGCCTGCCTGTAGTTCCAGTTACCTGGGGGGCTGAGGTGGGAGGATCACCTGAACCTGGGAGCAGTGATCGCACCACTGCACTCCCACCTGGGTGACAGACCAAGACTCTGTCTCAAAAAGATAAATTTAAAATTAACCTTAAAAAATTAAAATAGCAATTCTGTAATTCTGATATTGATAAAGTTGGAAGGGAAATGGCTTACTCTATAATTTAAATGGTTAATTAAAATCAGAACATCAACATAAAAGTTTTTTTATATATTGGGGTATTTTAAAGCTTTTTGTTATATGAAACTCAAAGAATTGAGAAAGTGAAGTTTCTAATATAAATATATACTAAAGCAAAACCTTAATTTTAATAATAAGCTTGATACTTTAGAGATTAAAACTTCTGTACCAAATATGTCAGGTAGGGTAATGGCCTTACTCCTTAGAATTCATGAACTATTCCTTCAAGTGCCAAACCACTTCAACACATTTCAGTACTGGCAGGGATGTATATACAAACGCTAGCAAAGACAAATTATTTAGGATAGCCATTCAATCAGTCCAAAAATGTAGAACAAATATTAAAATGAACTGAATTAACTTCCATATATATATATATATATATATATATATATATATATGAATTTTCTGTCTCATATATACATATATATACATATGAAAGAAAAAGTCTCACTCTGCGCACTCTGTCACCCAGGCTGGAGTGCAGTGGTGTGATCACGGCTCACTGCAGCCTAAGTCTCTCCAGGCTCAGGTGATCTTCCTACCTCAGCCTCTCAAGTAGCTGGGATTACAGGCATGTGTCACCACACTCAGCTAATTTTTGTATTTTGGGGGTTTTGCCAAGAGACAGGGTTTTGCCATGTTTCCCACGCTGGTCTCAAACTCTTGGGCTCAAGCTTTCCTTCTGCCTTTGCCTCCCAAAGTGGTGGGATTACAAGCATAAGTCACCAGGCCTGACCAACGCCCATATATTTGATGCCACTGCTACATGGGGGACACACTGTGTTGCACATTGTTAATTCCAATGGACATAATAAAATGGTTACGATTCTTTAAAATTATGTGTATATAGTATCTGTATGACCTTCATTACAGCACACAACAAATCATTTACCAAGTGCCTTTAATGTGCCAGATCCTGTGCTAGGGTATGTTAAAAATGAGAAAGCTATAACTTCTCTTCTCAGGAATTCTTGGTCTAGTGCACCTAAAAATTATGAGACTCTAAAGATACAGGCTTGAAAAATGTAGACTATGAGGATAAAAGAGAGCCATGAAGAAGAAACCATAAGGAAGAGGCACTTTAAACCTTTCCCACTGAAAGCAATATGTTAATTCCTTAGTCAGCTCTACAATTCTCTGAATGAGGAGTGTGTGTTTGTGTGTGTGCATGTGCCATAAACACCACTGGTGGAAGAACAAGAGAATTCCAGTTCATAAGTAGAAACTGTGGAAATGAAGGAAAAGGAAAAACTGCAGAAACTACACAAGGCTAGACTTCACTTTCCATATTCCTATTTCTTGATACCTACCCGAGAGTCACGGTCAGAAATCACAGCTGTTCCATAACACTCTGAGGGCATGATGGTCTGATACATGACAGATTCATCTAAGAGAGGATCCAGTACACATTCTATACATAGAAGTTTTGCTTCATAAAGAGTAATTAAGAAGAGGAAAAGAAAAATTATGAGCAAATATTTATTGAAAACTAAAGAAAATAGAGAGACACTTATTATAGCACATATTGAGAAATACACTTGAGAACAATTGTACCAGATGCCGACTTGCAGTATGCTCTAGGATAAAAAGGAAAAAAAATGAAAATGGTTCTCCAAACCCAAGGTAAAAATGAACACAAAGAGTAATAACACTAATAATATTTGTAAATAATGAACTCAATTACAGAAGATTTTTACACTCAGAGTCCTGGTGCTCTAACATTTTTAGATATAAATTTGGTTAAATTTCTATTTTAAAAATGATTCCTTCTATAATCTACCTTAATATATAGTAATAGAACAGCTCAAAAGCTTCCTCACAGAAGGTTGCCACAGCAACAACCCTTCGATATACATGCACAAAATTGAGGGGAAAAATACAGGTAAAATGCAACGGACTATGAAATAAAACAGTTAATTTTCAAGGGAGGAATAAGAAGTCAGAGGGAGATGGAGAAAGAGGAAAGGATCAGATTGCAGCATGGATAAACTATTTTAGCATTGGTCATTTCTGGTTCCATACAGCTGTGGATACACCTCCAAAAAATCTAACACAGAGGAAGGATACTCCTGAAAGACAGGCAAGGATAATGGACACAATGATGATTTTTGAAGTAAGAGCAGGAGAAAAATTGTGTCCCAAGGGCTGGCCCATATCCAAACAGAACTAAAATAAGATTGATACACACAAAAAAGGAAGCTCAGTCTACCTTTATTCCTAGTTGCCCTTGATGCCAAGTATTCATATGCCTTTGCCAACATTTTAATGTTTTGTACACTCAAGAAAATTTGACTTGAAGAAAGCTCTGCATTGAGTTTAGCTATTTCACCCTCTTTTTGAACCCTTTGGTCCCAGTGAAAGAAGACTTTCCTGGCACAATCAAGCCAGATAAATGTACAAGCGAGGCAGTACTTGACTTAAATACTATTACTTCCTGCTGCTTCTGGTGACCTCTCCTACCCTCATATTTCTACTCTCTGGTGCCTAATATCGGTGGATGCACACTGGGCAGCCTCCAAAATTCAAGACCTATCATTTTATCTCATCCCTAGAATTTTCCACCTGTGTAATTTTCCTTTTTTCATTATTTGCACTGGATTTCACATTGGCCTGTTTCTTTTCCTGAGGGTCATGGTAAATAACTTTAATCAATCGAACAAGAAGGGCTAACATTTACTGAGATACTATTGATGATTTATGCTAAGCCCTTTTATGGTATTTAATACTTATGACTGTACTATGATGTTGATATTATTATCCCCACTTTTAAGGTAAAGAGTGTGAGTGTTCAAGGTATTATATCACTTGAATAAAGTCACACAGTTAATATGTGAAAGTCAGGAATTGAGTCCACAGCATGACTCCAAAGTTTAATTTGCTAGTCATCATACTCACTGCTTCCTACTGACTAATCCATTTGAAGATTTTCATGAGTCGTAATGCTCTAGGGTGGCCTTCTCTTCCTCTAAACAATATTTTCTTTTTTCCAAGGAATCTTCAGTGCATTAATAGAACTGATTAGGAAGCAGATTTTGATTGAGATATGTTTGACTCAGTCTCTCAAATTTCACTGTGTATGTGACTGTCCTTTCCATTTTCGCTAGCATTTTTGCGCCTCTGCTCTCAGCTTATGTCAAGGATACTTTTCACCGAAATCCAAGCATCTGTCTGTCTCATAGAATCCAGTGCTCAAGTATGTGTGTGGCTGAAGCTTTTCTGGGTGACACACTGCTCCCTCTGCTGGACTGTGGAGGACAAAGAGAAAAAGCATCTTCAAATCCTAAAGTTTTACATGGTGCCTAACTTACTTTACAATTTTGGAAAAATTAAGAGAGGCAATGATCAAAAAAATATTCAAGGGTATTTTGGCCCCAGATAGCTGAGAAGTAATAAGGGATTCCAATGAGGTCTTTGCCTAGCACAAATGTGTCTTCTGTGACTAGGTTTTATTTTTATTTAGGAGGCACAGCAAACGTATGTTTTCAACATCAACAGCAGAAGCTTGCAATTGTCATTGTGATCTGTTTTGCAGATAAAGCTGGCATTACTAGCTTAAACTTCTGCTATTTGTGAACCATTCCTGGCATGTAGACTGCACGTGCTTTAATCTGGGAATGTTTTACAATCTAGAAAAATATTAACATGAAAGAATATGTATTGACATGGTAAAGCAATTTATAGCAAAGATAATCTAAGTTTACTACAATACAGACAAGATACTGAATAACGTGTAGTGCAAATATGGCAAGAATAGTAGCTGAGTTATTTAAAACCTTAAAATACAGTTTAGCTCATATGAATTCAAGTAACATGGCAAGATTCATGATTTGTTAATTTTATTCATTTATTCACTCAACAAACACTTATAATGCTCTATGTGATAGTCTCAGAGTTGGGTGTAGAAAACATTTTTTTTTATATATATCCCTGAAAGCAAACCCAGAAACTAAGATTTGTTTGCAAGTTATTTCCTTGGGAAGTGATCCAGGGAAACACCTGGGTAGGGGAAGTGGAAAGCAAAGAGAAACAGGGAAAAGATGAAAACTGATGAAAGGTACATTATTAAGCATTACTGTGGGTCAACTAGAATTGAATCAGGCTGGTGAATTCTGGTAGCCAGTGTAGAGCACGTTCATCCTAGTTATCCTGCCTGAGGAGCAAGAGGGCTGGAATATGTATATACCAACTTTTAGAAGTCATCATTTGAGGGCTGAACCTGGGTTGGGGGAAGGGAGGGATTAATTCTCTAGGATCTCCACATGCAGTGCATGTGACTAGAGTGCACAGGTGCTAGAGCAAGCCCAAGCAAAGAACGTCCAGTTTAGTGATTCAGATGGTAAGGCCCAGGGGACATAAGGAGGCCAACTATACACCTGCTAGAGAAGACCAAAGTGGTTAGGACATAATAACTGACCTTGAAGAGCTCACAGTCTCTTAAGAGATGGAAGTCAGGATCACAGGAGATTGCCCTGAGTTGACCTGGTTTGACCTGAAGAAAGAGAAGTACCCTGCACCATTTGTGATTAAAGGCAAGGAGACAGAGATAGTTGAGAATCAGATAAGGTTATAGTTAGAAGTGTAAGCAATTGATGAACTAAAGAACACAGGCCTCATCTACTAAGGAAGTAGGACCTGGGTAATCACCGAGAGTCAGGGAGAGAGTACAGCGAGAGATGCTCCAAGAAGGGGAAAGGGAGACAATCAAAAACAATTAAAAACCAATCAAATGTAATAACAGATAAAGGAATGTAGAAAAGCTATTTGTAAAACCTTTATTAAACACAATTTTGGGATTCTCTTGAACCACATACATAGAGGTAGAAGATATTTAATGAAGACAGAACAATAGATATATTTCTTGACTTTCCTAATGTCATCTCAGTCTCTAAAGAATCTAATTTTATTCTTAGCACTGTAGAACACTGACATTACTAAGCCACATCAAATCACTCACTCTTAAAATTTCAGCAGATGGAAAGTTGTTTAAGGGAAATACTTTCCATTCTTTATCTACTACAATCAGTATTTTCTCATTTGCATTCACTTCTTGCTTGGACCACCAGAAAGACATATGCCTGGATCACATTATCTTAGTGCTTCTTAGTATAATTCTCACTGAATTGTAAACACTTGTTGTATCTTCAGAATTTGTAAAGTAGTTGAAATAGTTATAGTAAATTTGCTTCTATATTTTTCATAAATTTATCATTGATGAGATTGCCTTTTATATGTCTGCTTCAAAGTCCCATGTGAAAAATTTTATTTCAACTGAATGAATTATATATATATATATACACACATATATATGTCCTCCCTTCTGATAATAAAATACTGCAACTTGTTTTGCCAATCTTACCCTGGTTAAAAGGAGCTTGGAAACTAACATAAAGGCAAATATATGTGTGTGTGTGTGTATACACACACACACACACATATAAAACCATATGTATTTTTACATTTATAATATATATCATATTAAAATATATATCAATTAATAATTAATAATATCATTATATATAAAATATATAATTTTATATTATATATAATATTGACCACTTGTTTACTAGTTAGTGATTTTCTATTTTTATTATCATTACCATTGTAAATTTTATTTTATATGACTGAAAGTTACTTAATAAAAAAGTAAGTATAAATGAATTATAAAGTGAAAATTATTTTTGAAGCAATGTGATTTTTTAAGGTATGACATAAATATCCAAAGGGACATCCACCTCCTCCTGCCCATGGCTATACATAGAATGAAACTACTTATCCTATTTATATTAGCTCCATGGCATCACAATCCTGTACTGCTATGTCCTTAACACCAAACATCTTCAACATAGCGATGTGATTTACAGTCCTCAGGGAATCTACGATATAAATGTATCTGCATTAGAGCTTCAGGAAGTAGCTTATTTCCCACAACTACACACCCAAGAGTGGGACCCAGATTCAGTAAGACCCTGGTTGCCACTTTAAGCTTATCAATTTATCATATCCTCAGAATAATCCCAAAAGGTAAAACCCATTTCATAGAAGCTAAGTAAACTTACTAGTAAGAGAATGGGTCAGGATTCAAACATAGGTCTGTCTGAATGTAGACTATAATGTCTATCAAAATACTTTATTATGACTTTTACTTTCTGACTGAACAGTTAATGGTATGAAAGAAAGAGAAAGAAAGAAAGAAAGAAAGAAAGAAAGAAAGAAAGAAAGAAAGAAAGAAAGAAAGAAAGAAAGAAAGAAAGAAAGGGAGAAAGGAAGGAAGGAAGGAAGGAAGAGAGAGCGAGGGAGGGAGGGAGGGAAGGAAGAAAGGAAGGAAGGAAGGAAGGAAGGAAGGAAGGAAGGAAGGAAGGAAGGAAGGAAGGAAGGAAAAGAAAAAGAAAGAGAGAGAAAGAAAGAAAGATGTGTTGTTGTTAGAGTTAAGCTTTTGTGTCAGTTTGTGTCAGCTTTTGTGTCAGTTCAGCTATGCCCACATAGCTGGTAAAACGTTATTTCTGGGTGCGTCTATGAGGGTGTTCCTGGAAGGGATTAGCATTTGAATCAGCGGACTGAGTGAAGAAGATCTGCCCTCACCAATGGGCTCCATTCAACCTATTGAGGGCCTGAAAATAATAAAAAGGCAGAGAAAGGGCGAAGTTGCTCTCTTTGCTTAAACTGAGACATTCATCTTCTCCTGCCCTCAGACATCAGTGATCTTGGTTCCTGGGCCTTCAGACTCCAGGACTGACACTAGCAGCTGCCTGCTTCTCGGGATTTTGGCCTTTAACTGGAAGCACATCATCAGCTCCACTGCTTCTCAGGCCTCAGGTTTTAACTGGAGCTATACCACCAGCTTTCCTGAGCCTCCAGCTTGCAGAAAGATTGTGGGACTTCTCAGCCTCCGTAATCTTTCATGAGCCAATTCCTCCTAATACGTCTCTCTCTTTATATCTTTATATATATTATGGGTTCTGTTTGTCTGGAGAACTCTAATACACACATGTATTAATACATATTCAATGAATGACTGATGACTAAAAATATGAAAAGCCTCACTATGGCACTTCTAGCATAGACCATTAATTGTGTCACATCACTAACTATTCTTTTTTTTGGGGGGGGGGGGGTGGGGGCTGCGGAGTCTTGCTCTGTCACCCAGGCTGGAGCGCAATGGCGCTATCTCAGCTCACTGTAAGCTCCACCTCCCGGGTTCACGCCATTCTCCTGCCTCAGCCTCCCGAGTAGCTGGGACTACAGGCACCTGCCACCGCGCCCGGCTAATTTTTTTTGTATTTTTAGTAGAGACGGGGTTTCACTGTGTTAGCCAGGATGGTCTCGATCTCCTGACCTCGTGATCCGCCCGCCTCGGCCTCCCAAAGTGCTGGGATTACAGGCATCACTAACTATTCTTATCATGCAATGTGACATTTCATTCTTAGGTGCTTTTAAAGAATAGTTTACAAGTCTCTACAGGGCTTTTTTTTTTTTTTTTGCCATGTCATAGGGAATTACTAAACTTGTACATGTCTATTTTCTATGGAAATAGAGATTAAGTCAGCTAGGTAGATGGCTCCAATAGCAAGGCTGAGGCACATGAGGAGGGGGTAACAACTGACTATGCTGGCAGAACTAAAAGCAAAAAGATGAATGCAGACAAAAGCGCATATTAGCATTAAATGGTCTCAGCAAAGTAATCATATAACTAACAGAGTGAAAGCATCTCTCCTCTGCAGTTTGGGTGAAAAGGAATGCTAGCTAGTAGACTTCTCTAATTTGCACATCTGCAAATCAGTGTATGAAGGAAACAGTACACAGTCATTTACACTGAGATAACAAGTATAAGTACAGCCACTAACAGAACATCTCATCACAAGAAAGTGTTGGTGACTAAAGGTAAATGGTTACTATTTTCCAAGGTCAGATGATTTCCTTCATCCTTTCACTGATGGTAATAGCAGTTTCACAGGTCATGGATAGTGCAAAGAAGCATCACTTAAAACATGTGCTGTCCTTGTTTGTAAATGATAAAAAAAAAAAAAAGTAAAATGGTCATAACAACAGTATTGTGCATAATGAATCTTTTTCATTGAAAGCAGTTAAAATTCTAAAAATCCAGAACCCCGAATCTCACACCATAAGCTAATTCTCTTATTTTAGAAAATATAATGAAAACATTCTAGAAAACATAATGAGTAAACCTCTATATCTTTCAAGCAAAAGCTATTATTTTCACAAATTATCCTTGCCTCTCTTTATACCAAAGAAGACTTTGGTAATTTTTGTTATTGGTTTATCAGAGGACTGGGCAAAAAATTCTGCCAGTCTGATTAACATGGTTATAATTAAACCATAGTCTTTAATTGTGGATTCCTGGATGGCTAATCTTGTCACTTGCTATTTGTCAAGCTAACATAAAGGGAAATCAACCATGTATTATACAATCTAATTTTCTTCTGGAATTCTGAGTAAATGTGTATGGCCAAAACTGATTAAGATGCCTATAGATGGAATAGGTGATAATTAGAGAGACTGGGAAAAAAAAAAAAAAACCACTAAGAGAAAAAAGTAAAACAAAGAACTAGTAAAAATGCTGAAGTCTTCCTGGTAACCATCTTAATGGTGTGATAATTTTATTATAAGATTGTTTTAACATCTATATATCTTAAAATTTGAATCAATAGAGCTATGTGAAGATTTCAATATTTTTTTCCTGAGAGTTATAAATTATAGATTCATTTTCTGAAAGGACAAGACAAAATTAAATGAACAGATCCTGATAGAATTTCTAGTCATTCACTAGCTAATGTCCAATTTAAGTTCTTCCTGTTCTTATCGAATAGCCGTTTATAGAGTATTAGTACTAAATGTCAAACAGCATCAGTGTAACACCAGCTTCAAAAATTGTATGTTTACCACACACCATCATTACTATTCTATGTAATTATAATGGAAATGCAACACTTATTCTTCTACTGCTTCTCTGAGTCATATATTAATCCTTCTAATGAATCAAGTTGCACTTAATCAGCCAGAGTTTGTTTCTTCTACCTACAACTGTGAATCCTAACATACATATGTGGCCAATTCCTTTGCTCCAGGTCACCCAGATAGCAAGTGGAAGAAAAAGAAATTGAATGAGTCTATCTTTCCTTATATGAACTCTTGTACCCTTTTCACTAAGGCATTCTGCTTCCCCAAGAAAATATTACCCAACCCCTCCTTCACATTCAAACCCTTGCTCTTTGAACTCTCACTAACCAAAACCCCAGAACTGAATAGTTTTAGTTATATCCATTTCTATTCAAATTGTTTCTCTAAATATTCATTATTCAAACTAAAGACAACATTGATTTGGATAGACAGGGATATATTATGGAGAACAGACCTGTTCTACAACATTACCCAGATTAGGTAGCAAATAGATAGTTACCAAACAGATTTTCCGCATAGGGAGCAAATTTTGATATTAAGACTTAGACAGCAACTGTAGAATAAAAGACATGTAAGAAGTGGAGTGAGAGAACAGGGCAATATCCTCCCAAATAGCTTTTATTCCATCAAAATGTATACTATATTCTCTAACAAAATAAGCATTATAAGTAACTGACCCCATCATAAGCTCCCCTAATATAATTTCTAACTCATTACGGAAAACTGCCTAAAAATCTGCAACCTATGATAAGACTCTCCTGCACCATAATTACAAATTTGTGCTTTAGGAGTTGTTTCCACGTAAGAAGAGGAAGCATTCCATGTTAATGCTTTTATTAAAAAGTCCATTTCCAGTTGACTAAGATAAAAATAAAATAACCTAAAATAAAATAACCTATTAATATACTGATAATCAAGATCATTTGACCTGGAAGGGTCATAGTGATCATTTAGTTCAAGATTCATATATTTCCATATATTTATAAATGTGGAAGCAGACGACAAGGCTGAGAAAAGCCTTGTGTAAGTTCATAGAGCTTGTTAGGGGCATCTTCTGACTCCATGGTAAACATTTCTTCTATTACACTATACATATGGTTGATTAAAAAATGTACAACTTTATTTTGTTTTTGTAACTGTAATGGTTACTTCTCAGGTTTCATTTATTAAATTTTATAAAACTTTACAATTCATAATCATGTTTTGGCTCTCTGTGCCAGCGGTCCCCAACCTTTTTGGCATCAGGAACTGGTTTTGTGGAAGACAATTTTTCCACGATGGTCAGAGTGGGCGGGGGAAATGGTATCGGGGTGAAACTGTTCCACTCCACGTCACCAGGCATTAGGTAGATTCTCATAAGGACCACGCAACTTAGATCGTTCGCATGCACAGTTCACAGTGGAGTTTGTGCTCCTCTGAGAATCGAATGCCACCGCTGGTCTGACAGGAGACGCAGCTCGGGCGGTAACACTTTCTTGCCTGCTCACCTCACCTCCTGCTGTGCAGCCCAGTTTCTAACAGGCCACGCACCAGTACCAGTAGGCCCGGGGTTTGGGGATCCTTGCTGTGTACCATCCTATTATAAACAGTCATGGTTTCAGACACTTAGTGCTTTTGAGAGAACGATTTCCCTGAACAAGGCAAGGTTACAAAAAGATAGTGTGGGCACCTAGAGTGATGTAGCAAATGAGCCTGATGTAAGAAGCAATGCAGTAACCAAGTAAAATAGAAAAGTACTCCAAGCGAAAAGAAAATACATTAAGGTTTAACTCTAAAAGAGAATAATGTGGATTTCTATTTGACAGGGAGAGGAAATGCTCCATGGGAAACATTAAAAAAGAAATGATTCATGGAACTTCACTTTAGTCTTTACACATAAAAGATGTCATTTGTGTTCAGACAAGTGGAGAAGGCTACACCGTGGGTAGGAGGGCAGGACGTCATTCTGAAACAGTGAAGAATAAAATGGCACACATAAATTCTTTATATCTGCAGAACTACATTTTAATAATTTAAATTATTTTTGAGACCCTATCAAGTTAACATCAATTACTTTTGGTATTCAGAGAAGAAAGACAGATGTGAAATGTGGAAAAACTAAGGGAGATAAAATGATGAAAGAAATGGAAACTTTAACTTTTCTCTTCTGCCATCAAAACCTTTTAAATAAAGTTTTCTTCTTGTTTTAAATGCTCAGGACACTGAGGACATGCTTTCTGTTGAATTTCAGGAAATATATAGATTGCAAAACTAAAACATTTGTTACACTAGTGTGGGATTTCATTAGAATTTCTTTGTGCCTCCACATATATACAGAGCTAGTAAGCCCCAATTGTTTTAATGCTATATTCCTGCATGAAGAGATGACATTTGCAATAATCATTAGAATATTCATTTTTTGACTGTTACCACTATACCACAACTTTTCACTCACAGAAATTAATCAGATCATTCTTACGTAACTGGAGATCAAAAATTAGTTGTTTGTAAAATATTTACTCCATGACTTCTGGGAGACGTGAAGAAGATGATCACTCCATAATTTAAAAATTTCACCACTCTGACTACCTGGAGTTTCGACACTTTGGTTCCACCAAAAACTGAAGCTAGCTAATGCCTGAAACAATACTCATCATTGTCATGGTCTTCTAATCTGTAGCTTCTGCCCCAGGTCCCAAGAACTTCTTGGAGCAGCCCCTCACAATGTCAGTGCCCTTTCACGTGTATTATTTCAGTGGCATATTACAGAAATGCAGGTAAGCAAGTGCTACTTTTGAGATGTGATATAATCAGTGCATGGCCAAATGTCAAATAGGCAGCAAACTAGAAAATGCTGCTTCAAACAGTGTCCTCTTTTGGATAATCTTTAGAACCTTCAGATCTTTGTCAAAATACATTTCTGTTGCTTGAGAAATGAATTTTTTTAACCCATTACTTCCAGTGAATACAAAGATAGAGCTTAGCTTCTTATATGAATCAGAAATGCTTCTGAGACTAGAAGACAGTTACACTTTGGTCAAATAGATGAGTTTGAAACAGAAGGCTACTAACTGGAAGAAAATACTTGAAGTTCTGCTAGAGAGTTTCTGAGCAGCCACAGAACAGCATGTATGGACAAGATTCCTAATAGCATGATGGATGGCACTGGAAGGGCAGTTGAACAAGGACCAATATTGAAATTTGCCAATGCCCAGTTCAAATTCCTGAGACTGTGTTGCAATAGGTAAGAACTCTGATGACTTTTTTTTCCCTCTGTCTTCTCCAAATGAGTGACCAATTAATGCTGAAAGCTCCAAGGTTGGAAAGGTATTCAGGGAGCATTATCTACCCAGAGATCATGGTATGTAATTGACAAATCTTAAAATATTCCAAAAGAAACATCCTTCAGGAATACTGCAGTGGTGAATACTATTAGTAGCCTATTTAGAAAACCATCCTCCATGTTCCTGCATATTTTCACATAAAACCCTGATTTTGTTCAGGTATTAGATGGTCATGCATTTCAGAGAAGGATGAGTCTAAGCCAATCATGGTGGTTTCATTATTCTTGTCATCACACTTGATTGGCTTAGACAGAGCAAGTGTTGTATAAATGGCCAATGAGATGTGAGAGGAAGTCTAGACAACACCATCTAGTAAAGTTTTTCTAACCCTTGTAAAGGGACACATTATAAGAATTATTCATTTTTCTGTGATATCTTAAAAAGTGATATCACAGAAAAGGTGGTATCTTTTTATCAGAACAGGTGATGTCTTTTTAAGGTATCTGTGATACCTTAAAAAGATAACCTGGTGTGATGAAAATAGCAGTGCAAGATGATTGAAGGAAACCGTTTCTTTGCTTTATATTTAGCCTTTCAATTAACCAACCTGGTGGTTGCACTATTCTTTTTATATATAACATAAAAATCTCTCATTAAAAATTAGTTGTGTTGATTCTTTTGTTGTTTGTAACTGACTATATCTTAACTTTATGTAATAGGCAATTTATGTCACTGATATGATATTACAACTCCATATCATCTTTAGTTAGATAATTAATGTGGATGGAAGAAAATTAAATTCATGAGAAGATGTGAATCAGCCATAAGTGAAAAATACAGCTGCTTTATAAAGGAGGACTGAAAACAATATGTGACTGTATTGCCTATTAGGAGCAATGGCTCAACCAAAATTCATTCATCTTTGAAAAATAAAACAAACATTAAACACACTGGCAAAACTGGTAGGCAGGAGATATTTCCAACTTAAAACATAAAGCATATTGCATCTTACTTGAAGAAAGGTACATTCATTATTCAAATACCAAACATCAAGGGGAAAAAAAAAGAAACTGGAAGTTAGGATGATTATGGGGAGATTTAGGTGAAGTTCTAGCCTATCAAATGACTATAATCCTTGGAATACCTGGGCCAGGTCATAGGTTAGTAGGTTGCCAGCATCCTCATGCAGTAAGTAGTCTAAGCCTGAAGCTTTATAAACTTCAATAACGTCACTTATTCTTGCAGATAAACCTGATTCACATATGAACCCTATCACTTCTACACCAACATGATTCTTTAATTTATCCTTCTTCCCTATTTGATTCCATCTCTCATTGTCCAGCCCCTTAGCATATCTAATCTAGACCGCTTTAAAGACGTCTAACAGGTTTTTCTGCTGCTAGTCTCTTGCCCTTTTGCTCCTTCAATCCATTCTTTACACTCTTCCTTAGCATTATCTTTGTAAAACACAAATTTGGTGGTCACCCTCATGCTCAAAAATTATTTGCAGACTTTCCATCAAAGGCCTGAAAATTAATGCTCATATTCCGTACCATGGGTACAAATAATAAATTTTTCAATTTTCTTTCCTACCACTGCCAGTGACATAAAAATCTTTGCTTTTTCTGAAGTCGTGTGCTTTTCCATTTACCTAAAAATCATATATGATCATACTTACATGCTCTAATTCATGCTACTTTTCCTTGTAATTTAGAGAAAATTTTATATTTATATTTTCTCTGCCTAAAACCACTTTAGATGTCTTCAGGCCTCACTCAAACACAACATCCTCTATGCTGTCTTCCCTAACTTCCCCAAGACAGAAGTGTTCTCTCCCTTCTTTCTTTTTTTGCAATGTGTTCACACTATGGTATAGCTCTTACTGCAGAGTACACTCTGAAATATTTTTGGTTGTGAATGAGGCTGTGAGCTCTTTGAACCAAATGCTCGTAGATTCCCAATTTGGTGGTTGGAATTGGTGGTGGAATAAAAGGAAAGTTTGCTAGAGACATGAACCAACTAGCTGGTCCCTATGCCATTGGGTGAAAGCTTCTCCCTGTTCTGGCATGAAAGGCTAGAGAGAAATGAAAAGGATATCTTAGTAAGGCCCAGAGATAAGGAACACTCTTAGAGGCTTCTGACTGAAACTTTTTTTTCTTACCTCTAGTATGAAAGATTGTACAAAGAATTATACTAACACAGTACCTTGTCTTTTATACTGAAACAATGCTAGGATAGATTAACATAGCTAAATCTACACCTTACCAGAGTTAGTCCACTTTCCATTTAGTTTAATTACAGCTCACTTTCCATTTGATCTTTTAAAGTATAAATCAAATCCCTTATTTCCTATGATTAAAATCCTTATTATAATATTATTAGAAAAGAAAATAAACAAAGAAACCAAGAAATCCCTTCCTTACTTTTAAGGCCTATAAGATCTTTTTCCATCTGGCCACTATTGTCTACTTCTATCTCTTAACTTGCACCAGCCTCAGAAGTTTAGTTCTTGTAGTTTCCTCTATCTGAAGACATCTTACATCAGACATTTGCTTGGCTGGCTTATTATTTTCTTATTCATGACGCAGCTGAAATGCATTCTTCTTAAAATGGCCTTGCCAGATCATCATGGCTAATATCCAGGATTTTTTAAAATATCTAAAGTTATTTTAATTATTAATTTGTGTATATGATTATAACGTATATAAGCACATAAAGATATAAATGTATTTGTTTATATAAGCATATAAACAAATGTGGATTTCCCTGATTAGAGTATAAATCCCTTGAGAGCAAAATTGATTTTGCCTTTATTGTTTACTGCGATATCCCAAACACAGAACATAGGATATAGTTGGAGCTCAATAAATATTTGTCAGATCAACTGAAAGGATGAATGAATAAATGATATACTCAAAAATGTTTTTGGAAAATGTTTAGAAGGAATGGACCTCAGCATTCTAATGCAAGTGGAAATTAGAGCACTTCATACATCGGCCTTTCCAAGCAACCTCCTGAATTAGAAACCTTCTGATTCAGGGAAACTTAGATATGAAGGGTATATATGTTGAATAGTTTTTCCTTGATAGAATTAAGTATACTGCTTTATGATCTTTAAAAATATTGTGTATTTGATTCCGGCATGTAATCACAAGATATTCGAGGATAAGATAATTAAAATTTTTCAAGAAATATCTTTTTTTGTTGTTGTTTCTTAGGTGCAACAGTTATCTTTAAAGTAAATGATATGCACACTTTGTCTTAAAATATTTATTTTGGGTTTTTAACTTGGAAGTGATATTAGTAGAATACAAAAACTTCAGAAATAGAAACCTTAAACTTTCCAATGTTTTCACAGATAACAGGAACCACATTTAATTTGGAAAGAGTCCTTTTTTCTTAAAAACAAAGCTGAAATCATTATTCTACTTACCTTCTAAACTACTATCTTTTTCCCCTGTTTTCATTCTTTCAGTTGTTATCACAAATCTCCTTTATCTACCGAGCTCCCAGGTACACCTGATTTGAGCAGTAATCCGCTTTTCATATTATATTTTTACTGGAAGGAAAAATTTCTGCCAGGGAGTTATGCAAGCAAAGAGTCAAAGGCATTACTTCCCAAGCCCTCCAATTCCTACAACAGTTTTCTGTGGCTTATTACGACACACAAAATTGTAACAGGTAGAATAGATCCCAGATATTACTGAAAAACATAATTGCCTCATATCAAAGCTAAAAGGTTGTATTTAAAAAAAAAAACATGGTTTCCACATATGTAGATATAAAATTACTATTCTCTCACTTTTAAAACATGTTGACTTAGAGGACAGAAGGACATAATTGGACTGCTAAATTACTGAATATGTAAAGGCTCTCATTATTGTGTTTTGTTTAAAACCAATATCTCAGTACTGAAAAACTGATTTTTTTTTCTTAAAAAAGGAAAATAGCCATGATTTTAGATAATTCAGATAATACAATATACAGCTGTAATTTGTGGCAGGAGTCAAAAGGCTACTTGAAGACACAGTGTCAAGACCTGGGCATAAGTATGAACCCAAGAATACAAAAGTGAGATGCTAAAGAATTAAATATTTACCCCGTCTCTACTAAAAATATAAAAAATTATCCGGGCGTGGTGGCAGGTGCCTGTAGTCCCAGCTACTCGGGAGGCTGAGGCAGGAGAATGGTGTGAACCCGGGAGGTGGAGGTGAGCAGTGAGCCAAGATCGCGCCACTGTACTCCAGCCTGGGGAACAGAGCGAGACTCTGTCTCAAAAAAAAAAAAAAAAAAAAAAAAAAAAAAGATTTAAATATTTAAGGGCAGGCACGGTAGGTCACGCCTGTAATCCCAACACTTTGGGAGGCCGAGGCGGGCGGATCACTTAAGGTCAGGAGTTCAAGACCAGCTGGCTAACATGGCAAAACTCCATCTTTACTAAAATTAGCTGGGCGTGGTGATGGGCGCCTGTAATCCCAGCTATTCAGGAGGCTGAGGCAGGAGAATGGCTTGAAACCCGTGGGCAGAGGTTGCAGTGAGCCGAGATCGCGACATTGCACTCCAGCCTGGGCAACAAGAGCGAAACTCCGACCAAAAAAAAAAAAAAAAAAAAAAAAAAGAATACTTAAAAGCCTGGCCACTGAAGCCAAGAAATTTGTCGATTTATTTTTCAATGAATTATTTGAATATACCAAGTGCGTATTTTGACATTGTGTTGCTGAAGGACCTGATAATTAATGTCTATGGTAACACAAGCATTTTCGGGTGAGGGACAGCGGTGTTAAAATGGCCTCACAGAGCAGGAATTGGCTGCCCCTTCAATGATACTTGACCATGTCTACTCAAAAAAGTAGTATAAGATGCAAACCTCTTGGAAAACATAGAGAAATGTATTACTCATAAATTTAAAATTTTTAAAAAACTGTAAAGGAATCTAATATTCCTGAAGTAGATAAAGAAGGGGGAAAGAATAAAAGACACAAGTTATCAAACATTTATTTCATTAAGTCTGAAGAACAATATAATGAAATGATTTGATTAGTTTTATTTTCAACCAGTATGTATGGGAAAGAATAAAAATTTGTTGTTAAAAATAACTACTGAAGTTTTTCAATGCAATAAAAATCAAATATGAAGTTGAAATTCGACATAGTTTTATAGCCTAGGAAATAAAGAGAGAAAGACATATATTGTAAAGTCACTCCCCTTTTTACACTCATATCAGCTACTGCTTTCTAGTTTCCCTAGAGCTGTCAGTGGAAACATTTTTGGGAACAGAGTTGCTCCTGTTTTTAATAACTTATATGAACAAGTGGTATAGCAGTGAAGCTCTTAATGATAGCTCCTTATTTATGTATGCTGGGCATATAGAAGAATTGGGCAGCATGGATCTCATACCTATTCATCTGAATGTGGAGTGAGTTGATCATATGGGGAAATCTGACAAGACTTCAAGACTGTGAAGTAGGAAAGAAGAAATATGTGAGTTGAAAAATACCAAAATGCTCTAAAATTATTATTGTGGTAAAAAAAAGTGGCATAAACTATCAAAAGATTTTGAAAAGGCACACGTTTAATGTCTTCTGAAAATAGCACCATTCAATTTCAGAGAGTCTTAGGATGTTCCTAACATCAGAAAAAGAAAAAGAAGCCCAATATATTTTACAGCTTAGTGTTTCAAACCCCAGTTCTGGGGGCCTGAACGCAGGTGATGTCATTTGGTGCTTAAAGCATTCTGAGCATATATTAGAAACAATTTCTGGCTAAATTAAATGTAAAATTGTAATACTTGGTACAACTAGTCAAGCACTGCCATATATCTATTCATATTGATATGAATGTTATGGCTACAAACATATATTTAATAAAAACAATTCATTAAACTGTTTTGTAAATTTAAAATACAAGTTATTTTTTATTATTTGATTATTTTATGATTCCCACCATTTTAGGTACTAGCAACCTGATATAACTAATTGCCAGTAATCTTTTACCTTTTATACCAGGTTTCAGGAATTAATGCTTAATATATGTTTATTAATGAATAAATAAAGAAAAGAGTCTATAAGCAAATAACTGAGTAAATACCCAGATCTTCATCTTTTTGCTATGGAAATAATAGCCTCAGGTATTCTCTAAGAATTTTCTAACAAAGTCTAATAGGTTTTTTTAGATAGATCTTAATACACTTTTTGTAAGTCAGGGGTTCAGTTTTTTAATTGCTATTGTTATTTTGTTATTTTTGAAACAAATATTCTGTGTCTACAGTGTGAAAGCCCAAGGTTATTTCTTTATTATTTCACTTTCTTAGGAGGCAATTGGTTACAGAAAATCAGTCTTCTCCCTTAGCATGGCCATATCTGATATACCTCAGCCTACTGAATTTTAAAACTGCAATCTGCTCTCAAAGGAAATTGTGCAATTGAAATGTACTTCAATTTAAGCTAGCTTAGTTAAATATTAGATTGCCAGTCAATAGGGAAATAGTGTAGACATCCATGGATAATTATCATTTGCTGCTTTAGGAAAGATTCCAAATCACCATTTCATACATACTAACAAGTGTTATATTGACATCTACACAATAAAATAAATATATAGATTTCTGTTAGGCTTTTGCATTTGGAAGACTCACTTTGCTATACTTGATATTGGTATAGCATTTGCATTTTGCTAAATTCTTGATATATTCTGGTACCATCTCTTTTTGCTAATAACTATATAACTTATTTAATCTTCTGGGGCTTAATTTAAAATCTCTGCAAGCAGATGTTGGATTGAAGGAGACAATTAGTCTGCTGAAGAAATGGAAATGTACTTTCAAGTAGGTTGACACCAGTTTTGCTAGAAATATCATGGTTAGTTATGATAAGGCAGGATGCAAATCTGAGGGCAACTTAAGGCCCTATGTTAGAGAGAAGAATAAATGGGGAAAAAGAAAAGTGAATGCATTGCCTGAATTTGCTTGAAAACCTGTACCAACTCTGACAGCTGTAATATGAATTGATGCAGGGTGCAGAAAAAATAACTTAATAGGCACACGCAGACTATTTTCTACTCTCATCAACAGTCTGATACTACCAAAACAAGAGCTCTCCCTTTAGCTCCTTAGTCAGTATTTTTTCTTAATTAAAAATACTGTGACACTTATCCCTGTATAGTTGAAGTACCTCTTTCTCTTCCCCCATCTTTTTTAATGCTCATGTAACTCAGAAGGTACGCTCTGCAGAAATATAAATCCCACCTTTCTGCTGATAGGTTTCTTTTTACTGCATAGAATGCCATGACTACTTTTTAGGTATTTTATTTGCTTTGAAATATTTCCATTTAAAATGTGAAGTGCTAAGAAATAGTAAAGCAAATAGCATAAAGGAAATCTTTCTGTCTTTTTTACACAGGTAGAGGTCAATATTGAGTTTTTCCTCCTAAATTCTGTCCCAAGCCATGTCTACAGTTACACAAAAAAACAGGATGGGGAAAATAATTTCCATTAAGCTATTTTTGAATTGAGAATTAAGCTAAGCAGCACAAATAATCCACAGGAAAAATCTCAAAACAGACATCCTCAGGCACAGGGCTGGTGAATGACAGGGTTCCCCAAGCTCTAGCACAACATGGAGAGACATATGTGGGTCGACCACAACTGGACTCTCTAGAAGGGGATCTCATACCCTGCTGCCTCTTATGTTTAGAAACACATGTTTACAAAGAGTTGGATTTGGCAGTGGGGATGCAATCAAGTTGGAAAACCTTGAGCTTTATGATCAAGGGTTGAGCCTTACTAATACGAGAAACCTGCTATTCTAGAACCCTAGTCATCCGGGAAATTTGGGTGTCAGAAGTGTTCCTCCTGGCTTGGCCACCGACAGGAACTGCCTGGGTCATGCAGCCCACATATAGGTTTGTTTCTCTGTGGTTATACAATTGTGAGAATTCCTCGGGTGGTAAATAGCTTCACAAAGAAACAAGTAGGCCTTAGTCAGTGTTGCCACAAATACTTGCTCCAATGAGTTTCCCCTCTCTCACTAAAAGAAAATTTCAAGAAAGAAGAGCCTAAGAATGATCAAGAGAGAAGTGCTTTCCCTCCAGGAGATGGTGCTGGGTAAAAGACACTAAGTAAGGAGGCTGGCATGGTCCCAAGTAAAAGATCCCATTGTAATTTATATCTCTGAATTTCTCTTACAGGTAACACTAGAAGATCATCTATTGTATAATAGGAAAACCAATGTTTAATTCACATGGCTCTTATGGAGATTCCATAAAATGTAGTATATAAAGTACCTGCTTCAAATCTTGGTAAATACTATCAGTTAAATATGTATAAGTTTTTCTTTCACCCATACATGTCCAAAGCACTCTCTGCATCTTGACTTACATCTCCAAATCTAAATTTTATCTAAATAAGGCTATGGATTTAGGAGAGCAAATGAATCTCTATGGCCCTCCGTCAAATTATCCAATTATCCAGAATGAAATCTTTAGGTTAGTATCTAAACCATACCATACCATATCTCATAGCCATCTTTGAAAGAATACCTTGCATTTAATATCCAGTAGATATGTGATAAATATCCTGTATATTATCAGAAAAGGTGTTATTTTACTTAAGAGAGCAGACACTGCTTAGGCCTAAATGACAACCTAGGATCTTTCATTCTCAGCTTAGCAATTTGCTAAGCAATTTTTATGACCTTAAGAATTTAAAAAAGCTTAAATTATTAAAAATATAATCTGTGACCCTTTCACCAATGGAATAAAAATAATTATAAGTGGGCTTTCATTTTATTTTATAAAATCTCAATGCTAAAAATAGACATGCCAACTGCTGTCTGATTGTTTCTAGGTCTCAGAAAACATGTAGAGATTCCTCCCACATAATTCACTTAAAAGGGCAACAAAGCCAATTACTACTTCTCAAAACAAAACAAAACAAAAACACCATAATTTAGATCTTTAGAACTCTTCCATTGAAGAAAGATTTATTATAGTGGCCTTTGAAGAAATAAAGCAAATCACCACATTCATATTTAAATATAGGAAATGAAATTAAACACATTTATAATTCTAGAATGTTCTTATTCTTTGCATGAATTAAATGGGATATTTAAGAAATACTTAGTTTTGGAAACAATGTTTTGACCTTTCAAAATAAAACATACATTTAATTTCCTGAACATCATACATAATTTCTAAGCATAATTATGAATAAAATTATGTTTCTGGGGACCGTATCCTGGAAAGGAAGAACTGTGTTAATTATTCCTCAAATAATGTTCTTTTTGAAGTCACAATGACCCAGGTGCTAGCAACACATCTTTCATCATAGTAAGTAGATTTTTACTGAAAAATGTTCCGATTTCCAAGCATGGCCACATGGATAAAAATGCCTTAGAGATAATGTAATGACAAACCAAGTTGTGTATTTCTTTTGAAAAAAGATTGGTCCTAGCTGTAATTCTGTAGCAGGAAGTTGTGGTGTTGTCCTGTCCTCCACAGTCCCTAGACTTGTTCTTTTACACCATCGGGTTACAAGCAGCACAAATTATTCCTAGGATATCAAGGAAAAAAACTGAACACAGACCTTCGATTTTATGTTCCCTTTCTTAAAACCTCTCTAAATCACATCTCATATCCTATTCATTGATGATAATTTGTCTGGCAAACCAAGCTACTGTGTCAATGAATATTACTGAGTTACCAGCTAATAATCCTATTTTCATATGATATTTCCAGAAATTCTACCTCAAATTATTTGCTATCCCTCAAATTATTTTAATTAGTGGGATGTCAATAATGTAAGATATTGTGTCTGAGCTGATTGACTTCCCATTAATCATGGACACCTAAAGTGCCTGGTGAGTTCACTGCAGTCAAATTTGTAGCTGAAAGAATGGATATTTCTCCGATTTTCCTTGGGGAGCTGGTTTGCTGCTTAGCTGTATAAGCTGAGAGCAGAAAAACAAATTATCGAATCCCTACTGTGGCTCAGGGTTTCATACCAGAAAAAAAAAAAAAATCAAGCATAGACAAATTCAAATAAAACAAAACTTCATGGGAAATTTTACAGCCATTCTTAAAATGTTCTTCTTTTGACCTCTAAAATTACTGCTATTCTTGTTCTTCAACAATTATTTTAAGCATTAGGTAGAATATATAAGTCTAAGGGAGATTCTGGCTTCAAGATATTAAGCAATAGTATTTACAGTGAAAAGAATTCTAAAATACATTACCAATAAGGATGACATAATAGAAAAGGATTTTAATCTTAAGATTTTACTATTTACCCTTATATACTAATGATATACATACACAAGTGTGTTTAACAATTTTTAGGGTCTATAATCTCCTGAAAGTATGTTTGTGTATATATTCTGGTATGTATGTTAAATAAGACAATACTAGTAATTGCATTAGCTACACACCCTCAAATCTCCACAGCTTAGTATAATTAAAGTTCATTACTTGCTCATTTTAGAGTCCAGTTAGAGGCAAGGGATGTGACATGCTCTGTTACTAATTCAGAAACTCAGATGGCTGGAGGCTCTGCCATCTTCAGCACATCCCCCCCATCCCCCACCCCTTGGTCACCCTGGGCATTGAGATCCAACCAGCCCACAGAGAAAGAGCAAGCCTGAGGATTGTATGGAAGATCAGGCTTGGCAGTCGCATACATAATTTCCATGAACATTTTGTTGGCATAACCTCGTAACAACTCTCTCAATAGAGGTAGGCTGGGAAATACAGTCTAAGAAGAAAAGAAAGAACAGGAAAATAGCTTTGGTAAATAGCTAGCCAGTGTCATCTGTGGCCTCTTAATTCCATTAATACCCTATTAATTTACATTATAATTTCAATGTATGTTTCTTTAAAAATGTTTGAGCCCAAGATGTAATTTTTAAACACATGTAAGAAGCCAAAGAATATCCTTCTAAAATTATGTATACCTTCAGATTAATAAATTTCTTATAAATCAATTCATACAATTAAAGAATATCAAGTACTCTGAGAAATCATGGTTAACAATGAGATCAGTATTTGCTATAAGCAATGTTCATGTAAAAGAGAGCTCACAAGGGAATAAAACATGTAACATATGATGTTGGCTCCAGGACAAATCAACTGGGAACCTTTGTACTTGCTGAGTGTCCATCCCCACAGTGGCCACAAGGCTCACACCTGTAACTACCCAGCAACTTCTTCAGAGGCTCACCCTTGGCCATTTGGAGCCACTTCTCTGGGAGTTGTCTTAGGGTTACACAGCCAAGGGTATATTCATGACAGACTAGTCTGAATTACAGAAGTCCAGCCTCTTTGCCTACAGTTAGAACACAATCTGCATTGCAATGTGAGCATCAAGTTTCTGGATGAATCAGATTGAAGTTAGACGTCCCCTGACACCTTGCTGTTGTACTGCTATTTCCCTATCCTCTCTAGCTCCCCTCACTTCCTTGCCGATTTTGCCTAAGATCACCCTTAATAGATATCTTCCATGCACACAAATTCTCACTTCAGTCTGTTTCTAAGGGAAACTGACTCAATAAATAACATAAATCATTTAAAAATATTTTTAAGTCTCTGGCATCTGTAGACATATTTAGTACAGGTAGTGAAGCTGCAGAGATTCTGCACTTATATTCTAGAAAATATGTCTGCATCATGTCTTTACAAATCAGTCTTTTCTTGTTTTGCAACTTTGCTGAGAGCCTTTGGTTTCCTTTATACTCATCAGGAGCACATACAAAAAAGCTAGGAATAAATATAAATGAAAAGAATAAAGTTAGACAACCAAGATCCAAGGAAGAAAGTTGACCTCAGCAAGTTGGTGAATAGAAAAGATGATGATGCAAGTTTACCAGCAGGAACTATTTCAAGTTAACATTGAATCAGTAAGTGCATGTGTAACTGGAGTCAGATATATTTAATGTTCTAAAACAAATTGTGCATGTCCTGAACAATTCCGACCTCCCCAAGGCTAGCCTGCTTTAACAGGTTTTTTTTTTTTTCAAAATAGATGTAATTATTTAGAAATTTAAATGTACCTTCTCAATCCATGCAATTATTAAAGACAAAAATGTGTAGGTGCTAAAGTTTGTGAAATTAATATATGAATGTTATGCATTCAAAATAAATATCTCAGTAGGTGTACATATGTGTGGAAATTGGCAAGCTGATATTCAAAATTATATGTAAATAAAAAGAGCAAAAAATGACACAGTCTTGAATAAGAATAGTTTTTCCACTCTTGAATATTGAGATCTATTTTAAAGCTATAGTAAATAAGACACTGTGATGGAGAAATAGATCAATAAAATAAAATGGAGTTCATACACTAAATTATGCCCCCCAACCACTCTATCCACATTTTAATTCCTGAGATTAGTACCATATATGTCAAAAGTGACTGTGGAGATGTGATTATGGCAAAAACCATCAAAGAGATTAATAATGGAAAGGTTTTCTCAAAATAAGAGTAGAAGGTTTAAAAATCTAGAGAAACAAGAATAGAATACGCATTGAAAATGTACCACTTAGAGCCGAGCATGGTGGCTCACGCCTGTAATCCCAGCAGTCTGGGAGGCCGAAGGGGGTGAATAACCTGAGGTCAGGGGTTCAAGACCAGCCTGACCAACATGGCAAAACACTGTCTCTATTAAAAATACAAAAATTAGGCCAGGCGCATGGCTCACGCCTGTAATCCCAGCACCTTGGGAGGCCGAGGCGGGCGGATCACGAACTCAGGAGATTGAGACCATCCTGGCTAACACGGTGAAAGCCCATCTCTACTAAAAATACAAAAAAATTAGCCAGGCATGGTGGCGGGTACCTGTAGTCCCATCTACTCGGGAGGCTGAGGCAGGAGAAAGGCTGAACCCGGGAGGCGCAGATTGCAGTGAGCCGATATCGCTCCACTGAACTCCAGCCTGGGCGACAGTGCGAGACTCCGTCTCAAAAAAAAAAAAATAATAATACAAAAATTAGCTGGGTGTGGTGGTGCATGCCTGTAGTCCCACCTATTCGGGAGGCTGAGGCAGGAGAATCGCTTGAATCCGGGAGGCGGAGGTTGCAGTGAGCCAAGATTGCACCACTGCACTCCAGCCTGGGTGACAGAGTGAGACTCCATCTCAAAAAGATAAAAATAAAAACAAAAAAAGAAAGTGTACCATTTAGATGTTAGAAATGTTATACATTTCCACCTTAAATTAGCAAAAGACAAAAACAATCTCCATGAATATTTTGAAATGAAGAAATTTCAAACTTCTGTCATGAGTTTTAGATTGAAAGAAAGAGATTGCGCCTTGAAAAGATAATGAATGGAAATTTTACAGAACTGAGAATATTAATGTTCAAATTGAAATGATTCAACAAAAGCCGCCTAGTAGAAACATATTTATATTTAGGGTATAATTATAAAAGTAAATAAAATAATGTACAAAAGGAAATAAAACATGAAAACTATTGATCAGAAAAGCCAGATTACTTAGAAGGGAAAAACCACGTAGTTAATAGCCTACATCTCAGGAAAAAAATCTCAAATGCCGAGGAAAAATAATTCTGAACTGAAATTTTATGTCAAGCTAAACTAACATCAAGAATAAGGCTACCTAATAAAGATATTTTCAGACAATTAAGAGCTGCAAGCACTTAGTAACCCAGAAATTTGTTGAGAAACTATTAAATACTTTAGGAGATCAATATTCATGAAACAGAGTGGTGAATTGAGCTTTGATGTTGATGAACTCCAGGGCCAATGCGTGACTGAAGCCGAAGTCCAAAGCCTGCCTAAGAAAGGGTCCAGTTGAGCGCCCCCAGTCATCCAGGTAGCAACCTTAAAAAATGACTCATATATTCTTTTGCAAAGGCAACACAAAAGTATAATCAGTTACATAAGGATACAGAAAAGCATGAATAAGTGGGGATGAATCCAGTTCATTCAGGTTGTTGGCAGAATTCCGTTCCTGGCAGGTTTATGATTGAAGTCTTTTGCTAGCTAACAGCACAAGCTGCTCTCAGCTTATTGAGGTCATTTTCATTTCTTGTCACATGGAGCCTCTCCATCTTCAAACTAGCAATAGCATATTAAAGCATTTTGGTGTTAGGAATCTACCTTCCCCTTCTACCACTAGACAGCAAAAATTCTTGGTTTTAAAGCGCTTACCTGATTGGGTCAGGTTCACCCAGATCATCTCAGCACCTGAAAGTCAGTTGACTTGTGATTTGCATTATATCTGCAAAATCTCTTCACAGTAATGCCTAGATTAGTGTTTGATTGAATAACCAGGGGTAGAGAATGTTTAGAGCTCTGGGAATTATGTTAAAATATTCAAAGATACTTGTAACATCTGAGAAGAGTAATATATATTGACTACTGTGAGAAAATATTAAGTTAAGCATGCATGTTTTAATTTCTACAATGAAAACAAAAATAAAAGGAGATACTATAACTTTATACAAGCAGCAGAAGAAAAAAATTAAAACTCTTAATATAAAAGAAAAATTTTGAATGGAGACAAGCACAGAACTACAGGGACAAACAGGGAACATATAATAAGATGGGTAACTCAAATGGAAATAGGTCATTAATGACACCCATTTCAAATGACAAGAATGAATGGACTAGCTAAAAAAGCACAGAATGATATATTTAATTTAAAAACAAAATTACATGTCCTTTATGAGAAATATATATAAAACATATTCATACAGAAGTTTAATGTGAAGAAATAGAAAATAACATTCAAAGACTGCTCAAATTAAATCCTTTTTAGTTATATTAGTAAAAAGGAAAAATAGCTTTGAACTCAGAAAAGCACAATTAGAAATTTAGAATGATACTGCTAATAAAAATCTTTCAGTTCACCAAAGAGGTATAACATTGCTAAATGTATATGAACATAATAAAATAGTTTCAAAATCAATGAAGCAGAACTTTACAGTAATATAAGTCTAACGAAATGTTACCCATAAATTTATGTTATATCCAAAGCTATATAAATTATACAAAGTCTATAAGGCTACAGTCATATAAAGCTAAAAAACAAATCCACAAATCTACTGAATAAACACATACACACAACCACAAATCTGTGAATATCCAAATGCTACCCATAGAAAGAGTAAACAGATTTGTATATTTATGTGGTAGAATACTTGTTAAAGTTTCTTTGAACATATGAAATTAAGCTAGAAATCAATAAGATGACTAGAAAATTCCAAGTTTGGTAGGTTTCAAATACAAATACAAGTACCAAATGGATCATAGAATCTTAAAAGGTATTTTAAACTAAACCATAATGAAAACACAACATATCAAAATGCAAGAGATACAGCTAAAATACTAGTTTGAAGGAAATGTATCAAGATAAATCTATGTTATTAAATGAATGAAGATTTTTTTTTCTCAATTTTTGTTTTAGATATGTGGGTACATGTGTAGGTTTTTTGCGCTCAAGTAGTGAGCATAGGCAGTTTTTTGACCCATGTCTTACTCCCTTTATCCCTCCTCTATTAGTTGGCAGTATCAATTGTTCCCATGTGTATGTCTATAAGTGCTCAATGTTTAGCTCCCAAATATCAGTGAGAACATACAGCATTTGGATTTCTGTTCATGCATTAATTTGCTTAGGATTATAACCTCCAGCTCCATTCATGATCCTGCAAAGGACATGATGTCATTCTTTTTTATGGTTGTATAGTACTCCATGTTGTATACGTACCATATGTCCTTTTTTTTTTTTTTTTTTCCAGACAGAGTCTTGCTCTGTCGCCCAGGTTGAAGTGCAGTGGGGCAATCTCAGCTCACTACAACCTCCACCTTCCAGGTTCAAGCTATTCTCCTGCCCCAGCTTCCCTAGTAGCTGGGATTACAGGCGTGCACCACCACGCCTGGCTAATTTTTGTATTTTTAATAGACACAGGGTTTCACCATGTTGGCCAGGCTGGTCTCAAACTCCTAACCTCAAGTGATCCACCTGCCTTGGCCTCCCAAAGTGCTGGGATTATAGGCATGAACCACATGTTCTTTATTCAATCCACCATTGATGAGCACCTAGGTTAATTCCATGTCTTTGTTGTTGTAAATATTGTGGCAATGAACCTATGCATGAAAGTGTCATTTTGGTATAATAGTCTATTTTCCCTTGAGTATATATCCAGTAATGGCATTGCTGGGTCGAATGGTAGCTCTGTTTTAAGTCCTTTGAAAAATCTCCAAAATGCTTTCCAAGTGGCTGAACTATTTTACATTTCTACCAATAGCGTATAAGCATTCCCTTTTCTCTGCAGCCTTGCCAGCATCTGTTTTTTTGACTTTTTATCATGGCCAAAAATAAAAATAAAAAAAATTTTATTAATAAAGCATTCTTCTCAAGAGTTAGAGGATTAAAAAACCCAGCACACAAATCCTAAAAGAAACTAGAAGGAAGGACATAATAAAAATGAAAGTAGAAAATAATGAAATGGAAACAATCATATAATGAAGAATCCACAAAGCTAAAAGTTGATTTTTTTGACAATATAAATAAGATTTACACACCTGTGGTGAAACAAGAAAGGGGCCAGTTGCGGTGCTTCACTCCTGTAATCCCAGTACTTTCAGAGGCCAAGGCAGGCAGATCACTTGAGATCAGGAGTTTGAGACCACCCTGTCCAAGACAGTGAAACCCCATTTCTAGTAAAAATACAAAAATTAGCCAGGCATGGTGACAAGTGCCTATAATCCCAGCTACTCCAGACGCTGATGCAGGAGAATCACTTAAGTCCAAGAGGTGGAGGTTGCAGTGAGCTGAGATCACACCGCTGCATTCCAGCCTACACCACAGAGCGAGACTCCATCTCAAAAAAAAAAAAGAGAGAAAAAAAAGAAAGCAAGGAAAAAAAAACAGGAAACATCATAAAACTATTTCAGAAAGAAAATGGGTACATTACTATAGATTACATATTATATAGAGTATATACATACATATTTATATATACATATGTATATATTATATATTATAGATTATATATGGATTACAAACATCAAAATATGATTTGAATGAACATTATACCAAGAAATTTGAAAATGTATATGAGTGAAATTGACAAATTTCCAGAAATATCCAACTTATAAAAACTGACTTAAAGACAAATAGAAATCTTGAATAAATTAAGGATTTACAGAACAATAGCTAGTCACTATTCTAGTCATTGACCATATGTATTCTGTGTAGTACCAGTGAGAGTTTTTTTTTTTTTTTTTGGTTAATTGTGATTCATATGAGTCTGTTTTGACAATCCAATCTTTTATGTAAACATGGTATTATGGTTTTATTTCTTCTAGAATAAAATACTAGATTTAAATGTCACCATGGCAGATGGATCATGAGGTCAGGAGATCGAGACCATCCTGTCCAACATGGTGAAACCCCATCTCTACTAAAAATACAAAAATTAGCTGGCATGGTGGCGTGTGCCTGTAGTCCCAGCTACTCAGGAGGCTGAGGCAGGAGAATTGCTTGAACCTGGGAGCTGGAGGTTGCAGTGAGCTAAGATCGCACCACTGCACACCAGCCTGGTCGCCAAAGCGAGACTCCATCCCCCCAAAACCAAAGAAAAAGTCACCAAATATTAACAATAGCTTTTGAAGGGGATGGGTGCTTTACTTATAGTATTTAGTGCTATTATTTCTACAATAAAATTTTAAAATAATATCTTATGAGATATTAAGTAATCTCATTAACACACTCAAAACACTCCATTTTTAAACACATTGAAAATTTATTTAGAAGAACTAATATTGCATAAAATTATTTAGTAACTTGTGTAATGTTTAGCGACTTGCAATTGTGAGAACTTTCAGAACAGCAAGTTGTGATGAATAAATCTCAAAACCTGAAAGTAAAAGTATATTACAGAAACATTTATTCAGAGCTGGCGTTTCTAAAACCTAAAGTGGTTTTCAAGGAAAAATCAGGGACATATTTAGAAAGCCACTGTCACATGTAATCATTATGCAGTGTCAACTGGTCTTTAGTGTTATAACATTAGTCAAGTACCAAGGCTAGGGAATCATTTCTTTTATAAGTGTCTCAATTTATAAGGCCAGGAGCTATTCTGGGGGTAAAAAAAATCATTTTAATGTACTGAAAAACAGCCTTTTCCTCACTCTTCTTATATAAATGTTGTTTCATCATTTATACTCAGGAATTTGGTAAGGAAGTCTTTTTTTAAAACTTTTTAAAAATTTCAAGGGAGGTTTATTGAGATATGATATATACAGTAAAATTCCCCCTTTTAAAGTATACAGTAAGATTGGTTTTGACACACAGACAGTTAGGTAACCACACCAGAATCAAGACATAGAACATCTCCATCACCTCAAAAGTTCCCTTAGGCCACTGTGCAGTCAATCTCCTTCCCCCATCCCAGCCTCTGGCAACTACTGATTTAATTTCTGTCTCATTATTTTGCCTTTTCTAGAATACCATATAAATGGAATCACACAGTATCTACCCTTTTGTGTTATTCCTCTTCTTTCAAGGAAAGTCTTTCTTTATGCAAAAATATATGTACATACAGAGATTTAAGTATAAAAATGAGGCCAATTTTGAATTTGCCATTTTAATGAATAACAACTTTATTTTCTTGTGTCTGACTAATTGTAAGCACTATGTTTTGTTCAACCAACATAGATTAATTTTTATTTTTCTGTTTCTTAAGAGACAAGTTAAATTGCAGTATTATACAATGCTTCAAACATAATCCTAGACGTCCTTCATATATACACATCATAATGACAATCACACACCTTAAGAAGTCACCTTTTATTTAACAAAGTTAGTATATCACAAGTGAATTTTTTCTGAAAACCACAAACTTGGCTTTTTGGAGAATTCCAATGCTATTCTCATCCCCCTTCAGAAATTTCCTATCTAGAAAGAAACTTATCTAGAAAGAAAATTCTTCATTGTAGAAATATGTAATGTTAAGCATAAAACTATCAAGTAAAATAATGACTTCACAGCTTTAAAAGAAATAGGCTACATATTAAAAAAGTTCTTAAAGAGGATTGAAAATATTGGGAAGGTAAGTTGCCCTTGTTCAATTGTTTATTTTTGTATAAATTGGCATAAGCTTTTTGGAGGGAAAGTTAGCAATATCTGTGAAATTCTGTATATACATTTCTTTGTCCCAGAAAGATTATTTAGGAATCTATTCTATACAAATAGTCAGTTGTGCACAATAATACAAGTGTGCTCCTTGTCACATTGTTTCCAATAGTAAAAATACAGAGAGAGCTTAAAAGTTTATTAATAGGGAAATGGCATTAAATCATGTTACTGTGAAATACCATAAGGCCATTCAATTGTTTTAAAAAGGTAAATAACTTTGCATAGGAAGGAAAAGACAGCTTAAATACACTGTTATACTTTAAAAACCCCTCTTTACATTTTATTACCATACGTCCTTGGGAAACAGATTACTCTCACACTGGATGGACAAGGAGAATACAACACCACAAGAAGAAAGTGCAAACAAAAGAGCAGAGAAAGGCATCAAGTTTTCAGTTTATATGTTGGTCTTTGCTCTTAAAGAAACTAATTCTTACAAAGTATCTTTTATTTATTAAACTATTTTTTCTCTAACAGAGAAATGAGTCATTTAGGAAAGGTACTGTGTCCTGGTGAATTGCCTGATTTTACCAATCCCTATGAAGTACACTACAGATTAATCTCACTGCATTCTACAAACTGCTACCCCTTACATTCACAATTGCTCTCATCACAGTTAAGATGTCTTATCAATGTCCTAATGGTTTCCCTACAGCTAAACACAATAATAATTGACTTGTTAATGCAAACTGAAGAGTTGAGGTGAAATCTACTTTATGTGAGCTTATGAAAATGTCATTTTAAAAAATGAAATAATGTAGTATATATTATAGATCATTTTTATAGTATCTGAATAAAAAGATTTATATTAATCTCAATTTGAAATTCATTCCTATAATACATTTTTATTCAAACAATAAATACATTTTTGTTCAAATAATGTCCAAAGTAATTTCTCCCCATGAGCTGGTTATGACACATGAGAGTGTACTTCCCCAAGTCTCTTTCTTACTGCAAAGGAGTATCTGTACAAAACTGCAATTAATGCAAAGTCAACAAGACTAGAATGAGAAGTTTAGTTTAAAATATCTGTTTCTGGCTGGGCGCCATGGCTCATGCCTTTAATCCCAGCACTTTGGGAGGCTCAGGCAGGTGGATCACCTGAGGTCAGGAGTTCAAGACCAGCCTGACCAACATGAAGAAACCCCATCTCTACTAAAAATACACAATTAGCCAGGTGTGGTGGTGCATGCCTGTAATCCCAGCTACTCAGGAGGCTGAGGCAGGAGAGTTGCTTGCACCCGGGAGTCGGAGGTTGTGGTGAGCCGAGATAGCACCATTGCACTCCAGCCTGGGCAACAAGAGCAAAACTCCATCTCAAAAAAAAAAAAAAAAAATCTGTATCTTAGGCTCCACAATTTTAAATATGAACAATGCAATCTCTCCTATTCACAAGTATCTCTTTTGACAATTTCAACTCTCTTGAATATCTAAACCCTCAATCAGGTTAAATAATTCAATGTTTCTTAAATCACTCATATAATCCATCTTAGATGATGCATGATTAGTCATTGTTGCAATGAAAAGGGGGAGTTGTAAGTAAATACTTATAAATTATAGTCAAGGTGTGATCACTCTGATGAAATTCATTTTTCCACAAAAAGTAATGAAATAGTCATCTCCATGTTGACAACCTCTTTCGGATATAACACAATAACAAATAAATATTAAACTATCAAGATCATAATGTATTCATCTTGTGAGCTTAAATTGTTGCCCATAGTACAAAACACTTCTGTATAAAAGCCTACATTTTAAGGTGATTTTTGGTTTTCTAAAAAACATTTTCTTTTTATGATATTATTTAATTCTCATAAAAATCCCTTAAATATATAATCTTTATATTAGAGATGAGGAACCTCAACTTTGGATAGAACAGGGAGCTTACATGTACAAGACACTATAGTACAGATTAATAAATTATGGACATAGTAATGTAAGACATTAGACAAACAACAGATTAAAACATGAGCAGAAATTAATAACAGAATAATGAAAATTCACAATTTTTTTTAGTGTTGTAACAAATATGAGTCACCTCATGCTTCCCAGAATTCAAACACACCTTTCCCACATTGGAGAAATATGAGAAGTTAAGTAGATAAGGTGTAACTGCACGATGGGTTTATTTTGCCCACTGCCCAGATAGAGGTTATTTATCAAGACAGGAAAATTGCAACAGAGAAAGAGGTTAATTCACGCACAGCAGGCTGAACAAGAGACCTTATTATTACTCAAATCAGACTCCCACAAAAATCAGAGGCTAGAGGTTTCAAGAATAATTTGGCGGGTAAGGGAATGTCTGCGTCTGATTGGTTGGCAATGTAATCATAGGGGTGTGGAAAATGGTCCTCATGTGCACTGAGCCAGCCTCTGGGTGTGGCCACAGGATTTGTTGGCGGTCTGGGTGGAGCCATTGGTCATCAGAAATGCAAAATCCTGAAAAGACATCTCAAAAGGCCAATCTTAAGTGCTACAATAGTGATATTATCTGCAGGAGTAATTAGGGAAGTTGCAAATCTTACAGCTTCTGGAATAATGGCTGGTAATCCTTTATGTCTACACCTTAGCAGAATTCAGGCTCCTCTCATCCTCCTAACTTGGCAGGCCTTTCATTAACTTTTCCAAGGTGGTTTAGTTTTGGGGAAGGGCTATTATCATTTAAACTATAAACTAAATTTCTCCCAAAGATAGCTTGGCCCAAGCCTAGCGATGATTAAGGGCAGTTTGGAGGCTATAGGTAAGTTGGGGGCTGGTTAGATCAGGTATATTCCACTGTCATCCTTTTCTCGTTTCTATAATTTGTGCAAAGGTGGTTTCAAAGGTTTTCTTATTTCTAAATGGAATTGCTTCCTCACTAACTCACTGGATGCTAGGCAATTTTCTTTTTCATATCTGTGTGCTCAGCATCTAGCAGAAGACTTGGCTCATAGTGAGACAGGAATAATACAGAGTGATCGCCAGAGAATAGAAAAATTCTAGGCAGCAGTTTCACATGACTAGCAAAAGGAAACTGTTGAAATAGATTCATAAGCTAGGGGCCTATAAGATCCTGAAAAACAAGATATGGGCCAAGCTGGCTAACACTCACTGGACCCAACATGGTGTTGGATTTGACCCAGGTTTCATCTAGGACCTCATTACATAGTCATTAATATGCTAAATTACCACACTCACCAGTGCCATGACAGTTCTGGAAACATCTATAGTTGGTGTAAAAATGGGTGGCATCACAGTTCCAAAAAATCTTCACCTTTTTCTAAGAATCTTCATCAATATTCCACCCCTGGGTTGAAGAAACCCATAAAGGTAAGAAGCCCCAAACCCCCTTGTATGAGACTCTCTGAGTATACCTTCACTCCCTTTTCTTGAGTGTGTACTTTTCACTTTGCAAGAAATTGTCATACTTTCACTATTTTTTGACTCAGCCCGGAATTCGTTCCCACAGTGGTGTCAAAAGCCTGAACACTAACTGGGGTCGATGTCCCACTGGCATTTGGGGACCTCTCCGAGCCCACCAATATCAATAGTAAGCACTCAAGCATGATTGTTTAATTTAAATTTGATTAATTGCTACTCAATGTGGTCCATCAAGACATTACTTATAATCTCAGAATAGGAGCTTACAAAGCATCATTTTAATAGTCTATATAGTGGCTATTCGTTAGTGAGGAAGTTGTTTAAAGGTAAGTATATTTAATGTGTAAATAATGTGTTAGCTTTTTTATGTAACTGTCTATTTCTTAATTAATACGTTATTTTTAAGGTACTATTTTTCCTCTATTGGGAATACATTATTTGAGGAACCAGAGTGACTGTCAGAATATGGTACTTAGAGATGTAACAGAAATCCATTTAATTTATAAATGAAACTAGAAAAAATTCAAAGTCACAAGTGAATTTTTTTTCATTTTATAAGCATACATGTCCCTTTCCCTGTCACAACCTTCCTATGTTCAAATGCCAGTGAAACACCTAAGCACAGTAAGATGACTTCCTGAATTGAAAATCAAAATGGTTTTGTAAAGCCAGGAAGACTTAGCTTTATTTTTCTTTTGTGAATTTGCAGTAAGTATTCCATGGCATTCTCAGGAAGATCAATATATCTTCAGCTTTGTTTTATACAGCTGTGCAGGCACCACGGTGAGTGAAAGCTCATCTGGGTTCTTAATTGAATATTCTCCTAGAGATGCACCAAAACAGATCAAAACGACTTTCTTTTAATTTCCTTAGGGGACAACTTGCTGGCATGGCCAATGCTGAATTTCCATCTTGCCTCTTTCTCTTGAGTTTCTCCCTTTGAGCAACACTGTAATAGCTGCTGGCTATGCAATTAGGCATCTCTGCTTCCCCTTCAATCTTTTTCTCCTTATTAAGCTAGTAGGAAAATGTTAAGCCCTTAGGCATCTGCATCTATTAATAGGAAGAGAAGATTAACTGTCACTGTTGCATAGATTCATGATTAGTACACTGCTGACAGAGTTCTCTTTTATTTCCTCCTTTTTGGCAACAAGAAAGCCATGGGCATCATTGCAACAACATAAAGTAACTCTGCAGTAGGGCCTCTAATCTCCTTCTGATGGGAGATAGTTGGCCCTCAATCCTGAATTGTTCATTTATGGGATTAAGACAAAGGAAACAAGTAAACTTAGTCCAAGACTCTCATGTAACAGGTAAAGAAATAGAGGTCATGTGATCTTTCACGGGGCATGAAGGTAATTCATGACAAAACAGAAACAAGTAGAGTATCAAGGTCACCTGCTATTTCTAACTCATCATACTGAAATCATTATATTCCCTAGTATTAGGAATTTTTAGATAGCCTAGGAAATCCAGCTAGTCCTGTTTCTCACTGGAATGGAATTACCAAAAAGCATTAGTTGTAAAGAAAAGGCAATGAATTGTTTGTGGTACAAGCCACTCCAAAAGATTTATTTGCTTAATCAGAAAATGTTTTCTTCAAAGCATCTGGGAATTCTCAATGCATATCATTCATTTGGGTCTAGTTTTTATTTTTCTACAAAAAGGCTATTTTAAAGCATAATTAGGTAAGCTAAAATTTATCAAACACAGAGAGGTCATATGTAGCACAATTAAGTGATCCTCAAAGAGTGATGCCTGGACCAGCAGCCACAGGATCACCTTAGAAATTTATGGAAATGCAAATTATCCAGCCCTACTGAATCTGAAATTCTTGGGAAGGCAGATACCTGTGTTTTAACAAATTCGCCTGGTGATTTTGATGCATGCTACAGTTACAGAACAATTGGCAGAGTCATTAAGAAAACTGTCTCTTAAGTCATTGAGTTTGAATCCAAGCCTGCTACTTAGGAGTGTGACTATAAGCACATCACTTAATTTTTCTATTCTTCAGTTTCTTCTTTTGTAAAATGTAGGCTACATTTTCTTAGTGTTGTTTCCCATCCAAGTACTAACCAGCCCCAACTATGGTTAGCTTCCAAGGTCAGAGGAGATCAAGCACATTCAGGGTGGTAGAGCTGTATAATTATTCCATAATGTTGTTATGAAGATTTAGCGAGTTGATATATGTCGAGTGCTCAGAACGGTGCTTGGCGTATTATAAGCTTTATGTGTATGAACATTGTTACTATTACTATTAACATTGTCACATGACAACTAATCTACCAGTTTAGCTAATTGAATTTAGCTTCAAAAATGGCCTTGAGGAACAAGACTGCTAGAAATAATGGGTTAAAAAATTATTTGGAAACGGTTCCCATGAGGAAGATAAGTTTGAGTTGAAGGACACACTGTAATACCTGAGAATTAAGGCTACTCGTGGACTTAGGGATCTCTACACATAATAGTTGATATTTTGCAACAAAAATGCAGTAGAAAACAAGCTTCAATGCAGCACATTTTTCCATGAGCTGTTTAAGGATATGCATCCATTCTATGGATAAAGGGGCTTTATTTTCCACACATGCACCAAAAATCTCAATTATTTCCATTTTTCTTTGCGAGAACCAATGTTTCACCTGTCCCTGTCCTACAGTCACTTCACAGGAATCAGTAAAGGAATCTGTAAAAGAAGGAAATATTGAGAAAGTCTTTGATTAAAAAACAAAGGATTGAAGCTTGTCATATTATACTCTTTCCTCTTCTTTGACCAAGGATTCTCAAACTTGAATATGCATATAACTCACCTGGGGATCTTGTTCAAATGCAAATTCTGATTTACTGGGTTTCCAGTAGGGCTAGTAATTCTACACTTCTAACAAGCTTCCAAGAGATGCTGATACTGCTAGCTCAGCCTCCACACATGCTGTAGCAAGGGTATATATCACAGCTGATTATTAACAAATCCTGTTGAGTCTTTCTTCATGGACTTTTCAACATCATTTCTTCTGTAGCCATCCTGGTTCAGACACTTAACCATGCTTCTGATCTTCAATCTTCCTCACTTTAATTCACCTGTCCTACCACTGCCAAAGTCATTTTCTCCAACTAGTGTTTTGATCACATTTCTCCTGTGTTCAAAAACTTTTATTAGATCCCCTGCCTAAGATTCATGTACTGAGCATCAACCACATGTTGGGAGCTCTGTTATATCCTGGGAATATAAAAATAAATAAAATATTGGCTCTATCTTTCAAAAGCTCAAACAACTAA
The DNA here is from genome assembly GCF_000001405.40 of Homo sapiens. Lineage (NCBI taxonomy): Eukaryota > Metazoa > Chordata > Mammalia > Primates > Hominidae > Homo > Homo sapiens. The sequence continues at coordinate 154,589,279 of NC_000002.12, read as the reverse complement.
ATAATTTTAAAACAATAAAAAAGCAATAGTACATACATACCATGAAATACTGCAAAAGCATCAAGAAAGGAGTTTAAGAATTGCTTACATAGGCAACACATTACTTTTACAGGATGAATGAGGACCTTTGAAAATTAAACCCAGTGAAAATGGCAAGGAAGGTCATGGAAGAAAAGTGATCAGCGTGAACAAAGGAATAAAGTCAGTGGTGGGCTGCTAAATGTCTAACAATGGGCTCTGGGGAAGGAATGTGCACAGTTGGCCCTTGCAAGCAGGTAAGAGCAGACTGCAGTATATCACTGAGTAGAGATATGTAACAATGTGGAAATGTGAGCAGGTAGTAGTTTGGTGCAATAGAATATGGAGTATAAATTTGGTTGTTGTTAAGATTTTTTTTATAATATAAACATTCTAGACCATTCAAAAAGCCTTGTGATTTTTCTTCCCCACAGTCACCTTAGAAAAGTAGGGATACCAGGTCCTCAGCCATGCTAACCGAACAAAATATATAAACAATAGTGTGATTGAAGTTCACTTTCATTAGAGCAACCATTGCTACCAAAGCTGGGATTGTTGTCCTTTCAGCTGGCTCAGCTGGACTCAAAAAAACAAGCATACTAGGGTCAGTTAGTCCATAATAGTTGAGTCAGCTCTGGGGCTAGACAGATGTTCCACTACTTAGAAGTGTGATCTTTGGAAAAGATTTGTTTAAGTCAGCTTGTACTGCTATAAAAAAGAATACCATAGACTAGGTAGCTTAAAAATTTATTTCTTAAAGATCTGGAAGCTGGAAATGCAAGATCTGGTATCTGGTGAGGGCCTTTTTCCTGCTTTGCAGATGGCTGTCTTCTTGTATCCTCACATGGACCAAAAAAAAAAAAAAAAAACAGCATCTCTCTCATGTCTCCTCTTAAGAGAGTGCTAATCCCATTCACGAGAGCTAATCCTAACATATTGTAGGTTAGGATTTCAGCATATAAATTTTAGGTGGGGGTTTGGGGGAACATTCAGTTCATAACAATATTTAACAACATTGTACTTACTATTTGTCACTGGAAAAGTGGAGACAGTAATTGTACCTTACCTTTTAAACTTTCTGAAAAGATTAAATCAAATATAACAGGACTAAAGTCCGGCTTAAGTGACAGGGATATATAGGGTTCTCAGTAAATATTAGTGTGATGGTTGATTGTTTTGGCAACTTGACTAGGCCACAAGGTGCCTGGATATTTGATTAAATGTTATTCTGGGTATGTCTATGAGGGTGTGTCTGGGTTAGATTAACATTTGAATCAGTAGGCTAAGTAAGGCAAATTGTCTCCCTCAATGTGGATGGGCCTCACCCGATCTGTTCAAGGCCTGAAAAGGTCAAAAGGCTGACTAAGGGAGAATTTGCAGTCTTTGAGCTGAGAAAAGAGTTTTCTCTGACCTTCAGACTCAGACTAGAACTTACACCATCAGCTCTCTTGCTTACTAGGCCTTTGGACTGTGACTGGAACTATACCATTGGTTTTTCTAGGTTTTCAGCTTGCTGGAGCTGGAATAACACGAATAAATTTCTTATTGTAAATCTCTTTCTATAATATATGTATATACACTGACACCACTCACCCCTTCCCCTACAACACATTTCTTATTGGGTTCTGTTTCTTATTGTTCTGTTTCCCTGGAAAATCCTGATTTATACAATTAGTTATATTGTTATCAGAAAGACAGCTCAGAGGAACCAAGATTCAAAATCATCTGTTCACAAAGTTGGTGGTCAGAGTGAATGCTGTAGAAGGTCAGATTAGAACCCTAAGAGTCTTCAGTGATTATGATTAAGACTTCTTGTTTTCCACAACCTTTTATACCAGCTTGGCCCCACGTTTGGGATGGATGGCCATGAAGCTTAAAGGATTCATTCTTTGTTACCTTAGACCACAATGGATATTTAGAACTCTTTGGTGTCCATGTTGGTTATTCAACCCACATTTCTGTGTTACTAACAGTGAGGCATTTGATTGCTAATAGGTGGACAAGATGAGTTTCCCTGAATGCCCTGAATGTTCTGCAAAGTGTAATATAACGGCCACTGGACAGGTGGAGAACTTCCCCAGCTGCCCAGCAATTTCCTCTTAAAAAGGTGGCTGGAGCTAAAGGCATAGTCAAGGTTAATGCTCCTTTTTCTTTATCCCAAATCAGATAGAGTTTAGGCACTTTTTCATCAAATATAGAAACCCAGCCCAGTTCATGGCTCGTTTGGCAGCAACCCTGAGACTCTTTACAGCCCTAGACCCTAAAAGGTCAAAAGGCCGTCTTATTCTCAATATATATTTTGTTACCCAATCCACTCCTGACATTAAATAAAACTCCAAAAATTAAATTCCAGCCCTCGAACCCCACAACAGGACTTAATTAACCTCGCCTTCAAGGTGTACAATAATAGAGTAGAGGCAGCCAAGTAGCAATGTATTTCTGAGTTGCAATTCCTTGCCTCCACTGTGAGACAAACCCCAGCCACATCTCCAGCACCCAAGAACTCCAAACGCCTGAACTGCAGCTGCCAGGGGTTCCTCCAGAACCTCCTCCCCCGGAGCTTGCTACAAGTGCTGGAAATCTGGCCACTGGGCCAAGGAATGCCCACAGCCCGGGATTCCTCCTAAGCCATGTCCCATCTGTGCGGGACCCCACTGAAAATTGGACTGTTCAACTCACCTGGCAGCCACTCCCAGAGCCCCTGGAACTCTGGCCCAGGGCTCTCTGACTGACTCCTTCCTAGATCTTCTCAGCTTAGCGGCTGAAGACTGACACCGCCCGATCACCTCGGAAGCCCCGTAGACCATCACGGACGCCAAGCTTTGGGTAACTCTCACAGTGGAGGGTACGTCCGTCCCCTTCTTAATCAATACAGAGGCTACCCACTCCACATTATCTTTTTTCAAGGGCCTGTTTCCCTTGCCTCCATAACTGTTGTGGGTATTGACGGCCAGGCTTCTAAACCTCTTAAAACTCCCCAACTCTCTTGCCAACTTGGACAATATTCTTTTATACACTCCTTTTTAGTTATCCCCACCTGCCCAGTTCCCTTATTAGGCTGAGACATTTTAACCAAATTATCTGCTTCCCTGATTATTCCTGGACTACAGCCACATTTCATTGCCACCCTTCTTCCCAACCCAAAGCCTCCTTCGCATCTTTCTCTTGTATCCCCCAACCTTAACCCACAAGTATAGGACATCTCTACTCCCTCCTAGGTGACTGATCATGTACCCCTTACTATCCCCTTAAAACCTAATCATCCTTACCCTTCTCAACACCAATATCCCATCCCACAGCATGCTTTAAAAGGATTAAAGCCTGTTATCACTCGCCTGTTACAGCATGGCCTTTTAAAGCCTATAAACTCCCCCTACAATTCCCTCATTTTACCTGTCCTAAAACCAGACAAACCTTACAGGTTAGTTCAGGATCTGCGCCTTATCAACCAAATTGTTTTGCCTATCCACCCCATGGTGCCAAACCCATGTACTCTCCTATCCTCAATACCTCCCTCCACAACCCATTATTCTGTTCTGGATCTCAAACATACTTTCTTTACTATTCCTTTGCACCCTTCATACTAGCCTCTCTTCGCTTTTACTTGGACTGACCCTGAAACCCCTCAGGCTCAGCAAATTACCTGGGCTGTACTGCCACCAGGCTTCACAGACAGCCCCCATTACTTCAGTCAAGCCCAAATTTCTTCCTCATCTGCTACATATCTCAGCATAATTCTCATGAAAACACACGTGCTCTCCCTGCTGATCATGTCTGGCTAATACCACAAACTCCAATCCTTCTACAAAACAACAACTCCTTTCCTTCCTAGGCATGGTTAGTGTGGTCAGATTTCTTACATAAGAGCTGGGACTGTGCCCTGTAGCCTTTCTGTCCAAACAACTTGACCTTATTGTTTTAGCCTAGCCCTCACGTCTGCGTGCAGCGGCTGCCACTGCTTTAATGCTTTTAGAGGCCCTCAAAATCACAAACTATGCTCAACTCACCCTCTACAGTTCTCATAACTTCCAAAATCTATTTTCTTCCTCACACCTGACGCATATACTTTCTGCCCCCCTCCACTACCTTTCAGCAAGCCGAATTCATTGCCTTAACTCAAGCCCTCACTCTTACAAAAGGACTATGAGTCAATATTTATACTGACTCTAAATATGCCTTCCACATCCTGCACCACCACGCTGGTATATAGGCAGAAAGAGGTTTCCTTACTATGCAAGGGTCCTCCATCATTAATGCATCTTTAATAAAAATGCTTCTCAAAGCCGCTTTACTTCCAAAGGAAGTTGGAGTCATTCACTGCAAGGGCCATCAAAAGGCATCAGATCCTATCACTCAGGGCAACACTTATGTTGATAAGGTAGCTAAAAAAGCAGCTATCAAAAGGCATCAGATCCCATCGGTCAGGACAACGCTTATGCTGATAAGTTAGCTAAAAAAGCAGCTAGTCCCAACTTCTATCCCTCACAGCAGTTTTTCTCCTTCTCATCTGGCCATTCCCACCTACTCCCCCACTGAAACTTCCAACTATCAATCTCTTCCCACACAAGGCAAATGGTTCTTAGACCAAGGAAAATATCTCCTTCCAGATTCACAAGCCCATTCTATTCTGTCGTCATTTCATAACCTCTTCCATGTAGGTTACAAGCTGATAGCCCGTCTCTTAGAACCTCTCATTTCCTTTCCATCGTGGGAATCTGTCCTCAAGGAAATCACTTCTCAGTGTTCCATCTGCTATTCTACTACTCCTCAGGGATTGTTCAGGCCCCCTCCCTTCCCTACACATCAACTCGGGGATTTGCCCCCACCCAGGACTGGCAAATTGACTTTACTCATATGCCTCGAGTCAGGAAACTAAAATACCTCTTGGTCTGGGTAGACACTTTCACTGGATGGGCAGAGGCCTTTCCCACAGAGTCTGAGAAGGCCACTGCAGCCATTTCTTCCCTTCTGTGAGACATAATTCCTTGGTTTGGCCTTCCCACCTCTATACAGTCCGATAACGGACCGGCCTTTACTAGTCAAATCACCCAAGCAGTTTCTCAGGCTCTTGGTATTCAGTGAAACCTTCATACCCCTTACGGTCCTCAATCTTCAGGAAAGGTAGAACGGACTAATGGTCTTTTAAAAACACACCTTACCAAGCTCAGCCACCAACCTAAAAAGGACTGGACAATACTTTTACCACTTGGCCTTCTCAGAATTCAGGCCTGTTCTTGGAATGCTAAAGGGTACAGCCCATTTAAGCCCCTGTATAGACACTCCTTTTTTTTAGGCCCCAGTCTCATTCCAGACACCAGACCAACTTGGACTGCCACCCAAAAAACTGGTCATCCCTACTATCTTCTGTCTAGTCATACTCCTATTCACCATTCTCAACTACTCATAAATGCCCTGCTCTTGTTTACACTGCCGGTTTACACTGTTTCCCCAAGCCATCACAGCTGATATCTCCTGGTGCTAAACTCTTTAGTTTGTTTGTTTTTTGAGACAGAGTCTAGCTCTGTCACCCAGGCTGGAGCGCAGTGGCACGATCTCTGCTCACTGCAAGCTCTGCCTGACGGATTTATGCCATTCTCCCACCTCAGCCTCCCAAGCAGCTGGGACTACAGGCACCCACCACCCCTCCCAGCCATTTTTTTTGGTATTTTTAGTAGAGAAGGGGTTTCACCATGTCAGCCAGGATGGTCTCGATCTCCTGACCTCATGATTTGCCCACCTCGGCCTCCCAAAGTACTGGGATTATGGGCGTGAGCCACCGCGCCCGGCCCCGCCACTCTTAACTCTTAAAGTAAATAAATAATCTTTTCTGGCAGGGCTATGCCAAACCTCCTTGGGCACTCTCTAATTAGATGTCCTGAGTCCTCCCAATTCTTAGTCCTTTAATACCTGTTTTTCTCCTTCTCTTATTCCATTTAGTTTTTCAATTCATACAAAACCGTATCCAGGCCATCACTAATAATTCTATACGACAAATGTTTCTTCTAACAACCCCACAATATCACCCCTTACCACAAAATCTTCCTTCAGCTTAATCTCTCCCAGTCTAGGTTCCCATGCCACCCCTAATCCTGCTCAAAGCAGCCCTGAGAAACAACGCCCATTATCTCTCCATACCACCCCCCAAAATTTTTGCCACCCCAACACTTTATCACTATTTCATTTAATTTTTCTTATTAATATAAGAAGACAGGAATGTCAGGCCTCTGAGCCCAAGATAAGCCATCATATCCCCTGTGACCTGCACGTACACATCCAGATGGCCGTTCCTGCCTTAACTGATGACATTCCACCACAAAAGAAGTGAAAATGTCTTGTTCCTGCCTTAGCTGATGACATTGTCTTGTGAAATTCCTTCTCCTGGCTCATCCTGGCTCAAAAGCTCCCCTGCCGAGCACCTTGTGACCCCCCACCCCTGCCTGCCAGAGAACAACCCCCTTGACTGTAATTTTCCTTTACCTACCCAAATCCTATAAAACGGCCCCACCCCATCTCCCTTTGCTGACTCTCTTTTCGGACTCAGCCCGCCTGCACCCAGGTGAAATAAACAGCCTTGCTGCTCACACAAAGCCTGTTTGGTGGTCTCCTCACACAGACACAAGTGAAAGAGATGTCCTTTATGGAAATACAATCAAGGTTGTGGAAGTCCAGAAATGCACACAATTAATCTAGAGGAAAGCCATTTCTGGATAATGACTTGATAAATATTTTCAAATATTGAACAACCCTTGTGGGAAACTGGGATTAGATTACTATTTGTGACAAAATATTTTGCTCTCTTTTTTTGTCATTACTTCCATTAAGCCTGAAAGCATTATGGTATTTTGATTATATGGGCAATTCTGGAAAGAGAAAGAAGCCAATGGATGTGGGAATTAAGTCTATGGGAACTGACTTGCTATCTAACCATGTCCAAGGCTCCATAACTTGAGCTTTACCTTGCTGATATCAGAAGACTAACAAATTAGGACTCAGAAACAGACTAACAAATTAGGCTCAGAAACAAGGCAGTGGTGAATCTAGCACTTGGCCTCAGTGCCTGTGGCTGAACACATCTAGAAAAGGCAAGACCTAATATGGAAGAAATGGATATAAAGAAACATTCTGGTCTAATATTTTTTAAAAAGTGCTTTTTCACTGTTAAGAAAGGTTTCTTGCTTTTTGAAAATGGGTGTGAAATTTTATAAATAACAGATTTTCTTATAAAACAAGACAAGCTTTCAGTAGAAAACAAATACCAACAAGGTTTCCTAAACTCTTCACCTCCTCTCTACCCAAAAGTGATAAACAAAGAAGCAAAGCACCATAAAGATAGAGAACCTCTGAGCATGGACCAAAGTTGATAGTCAATAGCAAGCAAAGGCATAATCTGCGATAAAGACTTATAAGCACAACACTGAAAAATATTGAGGTTGATATCTGATACTTTTGATATATTTCCTAAAATAAACTTTCCTTTTAGAAAAGTTTTAGATTTACAGAAAAATTACAAGAGTAATTCAGAGTTCCAATTTCCACAGTTTCCCTATTATTAACATCTAGAACCTTAGTATATGTGTGCACTACAATTAAAGAACAAATATTGATATTTTATTACTAACTAAAGTCCTTACATTATTCAGATTTTCCCAGTTTTTCCTTGCTCTCCTTTGTGAGCTCCAGGATTCCATCTAAGATGCCACAAGACATTAGTCCTCATGTCTCTTTAGACTCCTTTAGGCTGTGATGGTTTCTCAGACTTCCCATGTTTTTTATGATCTTGAAATTTTTGAAGAATACTAACCAGATATTTTGATATATTGCTAGATAAATTTTCTGATATTTTATTGAGGATTTTTAGATCTATATTTATCAGAAGTAAATATTTGTCTTTCCTTTTCTCAAAATATCTCTATTAGGTTTTAGTATTAGGATAATGCTGGCCTCATAGAATGAATGTGGATATGTTCCCCCCACTTCTATTTTCTGGAAGAGATTTGGATAATTGGTATTATTTAATCCTTAAGTGTATGGTAGAAATCACCAGTGAAACCATATGGGCCTGTTGCTTCCTGTTTTGAAAAATTATTAATTTTTGACTCGATTTCTTTAACAGATATGGGTCTCTTCAGAATATTTATTTCTTGATTCATGTATGTCATACCTTTTGTAAATGTTCCATAGTGCTTGAATATTCTGTTCTGTCATTTTCATTCTTCCCTCTGCATTTCAGTTTGGAAAGTTTCTATTGGCATATCTTCAAGCTCACTGATTTTTTTCCTTGTTCATGTCCAGTCTATTGATAAAGCTGTCAAGTACATTCTTCATTTCTATGACAGTATTTTTTAATTTCTAGCATTTCCTTTTGATTCTTACGGTTTCCATCATCTCTCTTCTCACATGACCCATGTGTTGTTGCATGTTGTTCACTCGTTCCATTAAAGCCCTTAACATATGCATAATAATTTAAATTCACTGTTTGATAATTCCACATTTGTTTCCTATTTGAGTCTGGTTCTGATATTTGCTTTTCTTTCCAGACTATTTTCCTTACCTTTAGGAATGCCTTGTAATTCTTGGTTGAAAGCTGGATATAACAAACTGGGTAACTGAACTGAGGTAAATAAGTATTTAGCGTGAGGTTCTTATGTTAATCTGACAAGGAGACATCCTATGGTTAATGTTTTCTGTAGCTGTAGGTGCCAGAGACTTCAAATTCCTATAATGTCTTTGTTCTTATCTTCTCTATTGTTTCTGGGCTTTCCTTGAAATCCTACTCAAATAGAGTATGTGCGTAAAGTACTTTCAATTGTAATCTGCTGTTTTTATACTGAAGGCCTGTTGATATAGCAGTAAGGTACAAGAGAAGGGAAGCACACTATAATCTTATAGCTAAATTTGCCTCTTTCAATGGGCCGATCCCCCTTGGTTATGACTTTCACAAGTATTTTTTGGCTTTGTCTTCTTCCCTTCCCCTTCTCTCTCCCATACTGGGGAGACAAGAAGGCCAAAGGGTACTAGAGTTGGAGAAATTCCCTTCTGCAGCAGTGGATAAGGCCCTGGTAAAGTCTTTTTCCCTGGTGAGTAGAACTGTTATTGAGAATGCTTTGGTCTATTTTAAAATGGTTACTTTTCCACTCCACCTGCCAGAGCCACTGTAGGATTCTCTGTTCCTCACCATGAGAAGCCAATGTGGCTACTTCACCAAGTGCCCCCAGCAGTTTGTCACTCTCAGTCTAGTCCACACTCAGCCTCTAGGAATCTGTCAAAATTCCTATTTAAGTGTTACCAGTTCATGGCTTGTTTTAAAATATACAGTATTAATTTTTTAAATGAGGTACAGTAAGGCCAACATATCAGGAGATGATTGCCACTGACAAGACAGTTACAATTCCCAAGAAGAGAGGGTGTGCCATGCCATAGGAGCCACATGAAGAAGAATCAGGATCAGTCGAGGGGTAGCGGGAGAGGAGAAAACTATTGGCAAAAGCCTTATTGTGTTTTTTGTCTGTGGGAAGGAACAGGAAACACAGAGTAAGCAGTTTTAGGACTGGCTAGTTTGAATAATTTCAGCAAACTCTGAACATAAAGGCTGTCCTTTATGTTCTTGGTATCTAGGCCTGTGGCAAAGAGGTCAGGTGGATAGTCATCCTCAGTAAGAGACTTCAATTAAAGGGAGTGGTTGGGGTGTGGGCTCTGGATTGGTTGGTTTGTATTTAAAAAGTGCACTCACACGTGAGTTGTTAACGGTCTCTAGGAATTGATGAACCCTGAGAATGGCAGTCCCTCCACGAGCAGCAAGGCCCCAGATGTCAAATAATCAGAATAGACAATAAAAAAACATGGGTCCAGAGCAAGCCAATCTCAGCTGTGACTCTATTCACCTGTCTTTCCAGATTTCAGGGTGGTGATTTTCCCTGTGACCATAGTCCCCTGACAGGTCCAATAAAGATATTGTTTTTAGTTTGTTCAGGTTTTTCTTATTATTAGGAAGGGCATAATGACTTCTAAGCTTGTTACATGTCAGAGGTAAATCCAGAAGGCTCCAATCAATTTTTAAATGTTCTGTTGATTTCAGTTCTATGCCAAACCTAAAATATTTGCAGTAGCTTCCAGATTCTAAGGAATTATCCTAAGAAAATTCTTCTAATGAGCATTTTTACTGAGCCTAAGACTGGGTGGCAGGCAGTTTATTCCTATGGTACCATGTGCTTTTATTTTGCTTTAAAATTTAAGATAAAACAATAGATAAATATTATCTTATGTTTAATTTTTTAAGGAAACTGCCAGGAAATTATTTTCCTTAATAAATTAGTTATTTAAACATTATTTAGGGCAGCTAAGAAAGAAATGACCCCATACTACAGTAACTTCTTCTGTTGTTGTATGTTGCCAAAAGCACTGGACTAGGTGTTTGAAATGCAGATTTGCATACTGATCATTAATTACCAGCTGGATCTCTTTCAAAGTAGTTCACACCCAAATTTCTGAGCATGTGATTTTGAATAATCATACTTGCCTATCTAGTTTTCAGGGTAGTTAGGACTGTGAAAGGGCATGTGAAACTTTATTTTGCAAAACACTACAGAAATGTAGAAAAGAAACATTAATAACTCTCATGCACATCCACCCAAGGGTGGTAAATTAAAAGAAGCAGAGAGCTTCTACTACTGGCTGAAAGAAACCCCATTCTCAGACCACATTCATGTGAAAAGTGAGTAAATTGAGAGGCCAAACAGAACAGAACGCAGAGAGAAAGGGGACATAGGTTTTATATTCTTGACTCTCTTGCCTTCAGCTGGGCAACAAAGCCTAGATGACTTTGTTGAGAAAAATAAGTGGTGCATAAGCAAGTGTAGGATGACCAATAAGGCTCATCAAAATAAGCAATGAAGTGCCCAGTTTCTCAGAACAGTTAACTAAATGAAGAGATTTAATTGTCTCTATGATAGTATATTCTTGTTGTAATGCGCAACCTGGTTTTTACTAACTCTGTTTTTAGACTCTCCCTTTTCCTTTAATCACCTAGCCTTGTTTCCACCTGAATTGACTCTCCCTTAGCTAAGACAGCCAGACAGACTCCATCTTGGCTCTTTCACTGGCAGCCCCTTCCTCAAGGACTTAACTTGTGCAAACTGACTCCCAGCACATCCAAGGATGCAATTAACTGATAAGATACTGTGGCAAGCTATATCCGCGGTTCCCAGGAATTCGTCCGATTGATAACGCCCAAAGCCCCGGGTCTATCACCTTGTAATAGTCTTAAAGCCCCTGCACCTGGAACTGTTTACTTTCCTGTAACCATTTATCCTTTTAACTTTTTGACTACTTCTGTAAAATTGTTTTAACTAGACCCCCCCCTTCCTAAAACCAAGGTATAAAAGTTAATCAAGCCCCTTCCTCGGGGCCGAGAGAATTTTAAGCGTTAGCTGTCTTTCAATCGCTGGCTAATAAAGGATTCTTAATTCGTCTCAAAGTCTGGTGTTTTTCTAACTCGCTAGGGTAGAACATTTTGGATGCCCCAGCGAGATATATTAACCCCACCAGGCGAGAGCCGGTCTCGCTCCAGGCTCCCCGGAAGGTCGGCCGGCTTGTAGGGGGGGGGGTGCCACCTGAGAAAAGAATTTTCAGGTCCCCGAAGGGCGACCGTCTTCCAGAGGAGAGCGGATCGACTACCGTGTGAGTGCCCTAAAATTCAACATCTGAGTCCTCAGCTTCTGACCCCGGGGTCAGGTAGTTCAGATTTGACTTCGTTTCTGGTAAGAGGGAAGCGGCCCTGACGAGGGTGTCCCTCTTTTGACTCAGCCTGTTACTCTAGGACACTAGTGGGTTGAGCCTTGGTTTTCTGGTAGGCGCCTTTGTGTCTTGGTTTGGGTGGGAAGTGGTCCTGACGAGGACCCTCCGTTGACTCATGTCAAGACCCAGGACACTGGGGAGCTGAGCCTTGGTTTCTGGAAGACCGGTCTCTGTCTCTCTGTCTGTCTGTCTCTGTCTCTCTCTGTCTGTCTCTCTCTGTCTCTCTCTCTCTCTCTCTCTCTCTCTCTCTCTCTCTCTCTCTCTCTCTCTCTCTCTCTCTCTCTCTCTCTCCTCTCTCTCTCTCTCCTCTCTCTCTCTCTCTCTTCCTACCTCTTATCTTGGGTATCTTTGTTTAAAAGAAAAAAAAACTGCAATAAACTCTGTGTGACTGGTGAGTGAGTGGGGAGGACAAACGCTTGCGGTTTGTCTTCCAGTTTGTAGCTGCACGACAAAAGCTACGGAGTTCGAGTGGGCCCTCACCTGCGGTTCCGTGGCGACCTCATAAGGCTTAAGGCAGCATCAGGCCTTAGCTCCATCCCAGCCGGGGGTTTATACCGGCCTGCCAATGCTAAGAGGAGCCCAAGTTCACTCAGGGGGAGTGGCCGGGCAGGCACCTGAATGATCCCACCACGGGACCCCCTCCCCTTGTCTGTCTAATAAAAAATAATAAATAGGAAAACTGTCATAATTGTTTACATGCCCTAGGGTCAATTGTTTGTTTTATGTTTATTGTTTTGTTCGGTGTCTATTGTCTTGTTTAGTGGTTGTCAAGGTGTTACGTGTCAGGACGTCGATATTGTCCACGACGTCTGGATAAAAACTTCTTCAAGGTCCTTAGTGCTGATTTTTTGTCACAAGAGGTTAAATTTCTCATCAGTCGTTTAGGCTGGCCACCACAGTCCTGTCTTTTCTGCCAGAGGCAAGTCAGGTGTTTTTACGAAAACGAGTGTGAAGAACATTCACCTGATTGGAATTTCTGGCACCATGAAGGTTGCGGGTATTTAGATTGTCATACCCCACGTCCTAGTGATTGGACCTCTTCTAAACTAAACTGGTGGTGGGTTCAAAACAGCCACCCTGCAGACCTTCTTGCTCACCTCTTTTGTCATTCTGTAACTTTTCCTGTGCCCTTAAATAGGACCTTGTATAGGGAAACGTACGCCCGTCATGCTATACTTCGTTTAGACTCCTGGTTCTGTTCCCCTGTGACTACTCTCTCATCTTAAAAATGACCCGAGTGGTCCCTTTCCCCCTCGTCCCTGCCCCCTACCCCGCACATCTCATTTTCCGGTGCGACAGCAAGTTCAGCTGAACTTGGTGAGGGTTTTTCTGGCTCCCATATCTGGGCTTTTTCACTCTATTCTGGAATTTTGGAGTGGCATTACTAATATAAAATATTATTATATATTTTATGTTATATAACATGTATTAACATAATGCAAATGACATATATGTTCATGTACTTTTAATTTTCTCTTTAATTTAAAATACTAGCTTTACTTATGCCTTCCTTAAAGCCAAAAGTTTTGACCTATAAGTGAAGAGGTAACTTATCTCTCATTTACATTTCTTTCTTTGTGGAAAAAAAAATTCAGACTACAGTGAGAAAGGGTAAAAAGTTCAGCAATTACCAATTTGGTTTATGTGTTCAGACCTTATATGGATCATTGTATTGTATGAATCAAAAGGTGAATCGTTGAAACAAATTGCAAACAGATAGCAAATTTAAAATACCCATCTTCATTGCACATATTATTTGGATTAGTTTTTGAAAATTTATATAGTTTCAATAAATTGTAATTATTAATATTCATTTTTGGATTGCTTTGTATTATTTTTTGCAAGGCAAAATTATAACTAGATCTGAATATCAATCAATTTTCAAATACAAGGAACATGTAGACCAGGTAAATTAAATTCACTAAAGAAATGGCCTATATACTAAATTTTAGGGAAAAACAGTATTCAAATCAAATACATCATTGTACCTGGGGCTATAAGCTTAACTTCTAGAAAGAAACTGATTTTTAAAAAAGACATAATTTCAAAAAATTGAAAAAAATTGTGTTCTTTCATTTTGAAATTTGACTGCAAATTGAGTATAATCATATTAATTTTATTTAATTCCAATAACATGCTTGAAAGAAAAAAATGTAAATGAATAGTGCATGGAATGTTGTCATATTTTGATTATATAAATTAAAATTTTTGATGTAGAGTTATTAAGCAATTTTCTCAGATGCTAATGTTTAACAGAGCAATGCTAATTTTTTCTTGCCTTGATTAATTAATACTACTTTTATAGAATTTTTTTAAAGATTCTTGCTTAAACTTTAATGACTCCAGTTAGTTCTCAAAAGAGAGTAATATGATATCAGTTGTTGAAAGATAGGTAGAATGACTATTTCAGTAAAGCAAGCTATTTCTCATACATGGGCACTAACGATAGTGGAAAAGCTACCTTTTGAGGGTGGGATGGAAAGACAGCTTAATGTGTGAGAAGATTTTGAAGACAATTACTAAGATGAAAAGAATAATATATATTGTAAATGTACCTGCTTTGTATAAATATAATAAAATAAGAGCAATAATAAATGAGCTTATTTTTGTTTGCTTTCTAGAAAACAATTTCTAGTAATTTTCAATGTATCAAAAGTTAAAAAAGCAAAGAACTGAACAGTTCATATAGTAGTTACATATTCCATATAAAAAAGAAATTATATAAATTAAGTATATAATTATACATTATAAGTATACAAAATACAGGCATACTTGTCCATTTTTGCAAACACACACACACACACACACACACACACACACACACACACACACACACACTGGAAGTATACACCAGAAGCTAAAATAGACAACTACAGAGGGCACGAGGAACTGTGTGGTAAAGATAAAAAAGGAAAAGAGACTTCCCTAAATACAATATTTTATATAATTTTGACACATATGTATGTTTTATCTACTCAAAAATATAAAGTTATATGAAAAAGCAAGTGCTAAAACTTAGAATAATGAGTAGAAATAAACAATCCTAGCTACTTATCAACTTGGACACATTAATACAGAGGTGCAAGCTCAGAAACATTATTTCAAGAGACTTTTAAATACTGTATTCTGTATATTCTTGGTGACACATATGTAAAGGACTGAAAAAAAAAAAAAAGAAAGAAAAGAAAAACCAGCAAAGAAGTCTTTAATCTAACTCAGCAGGTATAATGCTAATAATATTATCACCATGGTAACTTTGAAACTATTCCAAATATACTACCTGTGTAAAATAAACAAAACAAATAATTATGTTAATATATTAATTATATTAGGAAACAAGGTTTTCAGTGCAATAAAAAATAATGCAGGCTGGGTGCGGTGGCTCATACCTGTAATCCCAGTATTTTTGGAGGCCGAGGTGGGTGGATCACTTGAGGTCAGGAGTTTGAAACCAGCCTGGCCAACACGGTGGAGCCCCATCTCTACTAAAAATACAAAAATTAGCTGGGCATTGTGGCACGCACCTGTAATCCCAGCTACTCGGGTGGCTGAGGCACAAGAATCACTTAAACCCAGGAGGTGGAGGTTGCACTGAGCTGAGATTGCACCACTGTACTCCAGCCTGGGCGTCAGAGCAAGACACCATCTCAAAAAAAAAAAAAAAGATGCAAATATAAAATCAACCAAATTAAGTAAAAAATATCAATATGATCATAAGATGTTGATTAAAAAAATTTTCTAGCTCTGGTCTCTGAATGTAAAAAGAATTGAAGTTGTCTCAATAACAATGAGCGCTCCTTGTAGATAAATCTTGGTTTTAAATATTATTCTTAACTAAAACAAATCAGAGCTTCCTGGAGAAATTAGTATTCCATGTAAGGGGGAAAAAATACCTTAATTGTAGGACATCTTGTTATGCCAGAAGACAAGGAAGAGTTCAAAGACTGCTGATACTATACCAAATGGACCCAGGACCCAGATGGAATTATTACTGGAATTGTCACCGGCCAAATTAGGTAAAATATAAATATCAAATAAATAGCATCTACAATTGATATTTACACACTCGATACTTAAAAACCCATAATGAAAATCAAAAAGAAAGAGGAAAAAATTCATATGCCACGAATGAGATTGATTATTATAGGACCTCCTTACACTGAAATTGAAAATTAAAGATACAAAATTAACTATTTAGTCTGCCTTTTCATAAGACTTTGGAGTTCACCACAGTGGCTGATGATCAAACTCTATCAGGTAACAATGTCAGCTAAAATGAGGGGGGAAAATGACAGAATTAGAAAATCACAATTTTGTAACACCCAATGAAATAACTGATTCATACAAAGATCATTAATGGATCCTAAAACCATTAGGTGAAAGGCTGAGTGAAAGTGGATATTTGCAGAATATTATCCAGTAGATTATGTTCTAAATGCAAAAAAAAAAAAATCTTTCCCAAAAACTGATAATCTGGCTATCACTATCATAGCCAAGTGATCAAATCTGTTACCACTAATAGTGGGGCCACCTAAACATTGTCTGCTGATATGATATAATATGAAATACACAGTATGACCTATGAAATATTCTTGCCAAAAACATATAAAAAATAAGCTTTCAATTCTAGCTTAGAATGCCTATGTAATATAATTATTAGAGATGAAAGCTAAATGAAACCATGTGCAAACAATCACATGATTCCAATAATGTTATAATTGCAAGAGAACGGACCTATTCTCTTAAAAAATTATGGTCATGAAAAAAAAAGTCATTCTAGAATGATAGAAATGGAAGCAAAATCATGGCCAAATTAAATGCATGAAACTTAGTAAGATTTATTGAAAAAATTAATAAAAATTATTTTGTGCAATGGGAAAATTTGAATATGAACTGTGAATTAAATGATATTGTAATCAATTAAGATTATCTTATATGACATAATGATATACAAGCATATAAGAGTAAGTTCTTATTTTAGGAGTGGCAAAATGTAATTTTAGAAATTAAGTGTGATGTTCACAACTTGCTTTGAAATGTTTCAGAAAAAAATATAGATATAAATAAAGCAAATGTGGCAAACTGTTAAAAATTGGATGTATGGGTGTTCATTACACTATTGCTTTAGTGTGTACAAATGTTTTTGAATATTAATATTAAAATATTTAGAAAAAACTGAAAAAATAATAAATTATGAATAAAACTTTCATTTTGAGTAATGGGTAATTTTTAAAAACTTTTTCTGTGTTGCCTATCACTGTTTCTTTTAGTGCTTGAAATGCCCTGATTTGAGCTAATGAGAATCCTTTTGCATAGCATGAGTTACTCAGCTGATTTGGATTAATCATGTGCTTTGCCCCAGAAAAGCCTGGAATATGATAATCCCTTGGCCAATCTGTGAATTACATTAACTACAGATAAGTGATGTCCTTTAATTACAGATCTGCAGGACATACCTGCCTATCAGCATTACTTGGCAATGATAATTGGACTCATGTTTTGCACATGGTTTTATTAGAGACTCAGGGGTTTTGATGGTTAAGGTTGATTATAGAATTGGAATGTACCTATAAGACTTGCTTAATATAAGAGATTCTTCTCACAAGCAGAACTGGGTTTCCTGCTACCAAGCTGCTTCACAAGCATGCCACCCATGATCCAAAGCTGAAGATTTGTCTTGATTTGTCAGTGCTTCCTCTGCAACCCAGTGGTAGAAAATCAAAGAAGCCTAACCCTGAGATCTCCATATCCCTTTCAATCCATATCCTTCCCCTGCAGTCGTTGTACTGCCTCCTTTGCCTATAAGAAAGCTATTCCATGAGTGAAGCCACTGGAGTCCTGGCAGTCTTTTCAGGATCCAACACTTAAAGCAATTAACATGTAGTTAAACTTACTTCTATATCCTTTTGATACACTCCCTTATTCTTTGAGCATTTCCTTGCTTTTTGGCATAATTTATCCTACGTATATCTTGTGCATTTCCTTCCCTAGACCTGGAATCAACTATTTCTTGAAGGAGTTCTAATTGCTTTCAATGGAATATTACGTTTAAAAAATAAGATTGGGGCCCTAGGGATGCTTTACTGTTTGTAGGCCCTTTCAGTGACAAAATTAGAATATATGTTTTTAAAAATAGAATAATGAGTTTACATTAGTATTTCCAATTCACTTTCAAACATCAAAATGATTTTTCTGAATTTTGTGGTTTGTATATTAGAATATATGTATAAACATATATCAGTGCACTAATATATTATTAGTGTACTAGTATATTAATATGTATTTCCTCTTTCTCTGAAAACATTGTTTCCAAAATATCACAAGATAATTTCTGCAATTTGCCTACAATGTATGAATTAAATGGTTTTACTCTAGAATATCAACCATAATATTAAAAATAAGATACTGTCTGAAGTTTAAGATTTCTTTGCTGTTTATGTCTTCAGGATATATTCCTCTAAGAATACACACAGTGCAGTCTTGAAATTTTTGTCTGTGTGGCTATGTTACAAATGTGGTGTATTAGGCCACTCTTGCACTGCTGTAAAGAAATACCTGAGACTGAGGTTTAATTGGCTTATGGTTCTGCAGGTTATATTGGAAGCATAGCAGCATCTGCTTCTGGGGAGTGCTCAGGAAGCTCACAATCACCGCAGAAAGCAAGCGGGGAGCAAGCACATCACATAGCGAAAGCAGGAGCAAGAGAGAGAGTGGTGAGGGAGGTGCCACATACTTTTAAATTATCAGATCTTACAAGAACTCACTATCCAAAGACAGCACCAAGCCATGAGGGATCCGCCCACATGATCCAAACACTTCCCACGAGGCCCCCGGCTTCCAGCATAGAGGATTACCATTCAACATTAGATCTGGGCAAGGACAAATATCCTAACTATATCACACTGTAAATAGACTATTCACTTATTCACAATTCTGAAACCTCAAAAGCTCTAAATCCAAAAGTTTGCTACTTTGTTATTTGTAAATTTGAGATAAAAACTAGTGATTTGCTTCCTCTTGTATTCAACAGTATGGGGTTTGGTTTGTTTTCTTTTTAAACTAATTTTATTATTTAATTGAAAAAAACATTTAAATGGTTGTAGTCAAAGCTATATTTAATAGTCTATTAAGGCCGGGCGCGGTGGCTCACGCCTGTAATCCCAGCACTTTGGGAGGCCGAGGCGGGCGGATCACGAGGTCAGGAGATCGAGACCATCCTGGCTAACACGGTGAAACCCCGTCTCTACTAAAAATACAAAAAATTAGCCGGGCGTGGTAGCGGGCGCCTGTAGTCCCAGCTACTCGGGAGGCTGAGGCAGGGGAATGGCGTGAACCCGGGAGGCGGAGCTTGCAGTGAGCCGAGATCGCGCCACTGCACTCCAGCCTGGGCGACAGAGCGAGACTCCGTCTCAAAAAAAAAAAAAAAAAAAAAAAATAGTCTATTAAAAGAAGTATTGCATCCATTGCTATTCCACTTTGCCTACCTCCTCCCATGCCATAGACACGTGTTCCTTTTTGAAACTAAGTGAATTATGTGGGTCTATAGATTTCATTATTTATTTCCTTTTCTTCTGTTATCCAAAAGGAAGTATGCTACATATATTATTCTACACTTTTCTTTCTCTCCCAGCAATATGTCTTAAAGATCTCACACATTCAATATATAAGATCTTTCTTCTAATTCTCATGGCTGAATTTAATCACAGTTAGAAAGCTTTTATCCACTCTCAGTCTATAAAATAATCCATTTTTGTAGTAATTGTTTGGCTTGATTATTACAATTGGAATTTCTGACTTATTTGGGTTTTATTCTAGTGTGTGGTATGAGGTAAGGGTCCAACTTTCCAATTTTTTTTCCAATGGCCATCAAATTCCTCATTCCTTTTATTTAAAAGTATGACTTTTCCCTAGTGATTTGAGATTCGCATCATATAGTACATGATATAATATATAATAAGCTTCCATCTGTACTTATTTGTATTGCCTTAGATTGTTTTAAAATAATTTTCCTTTTCTATTTACCCCCAGCCTGATCTGTCATTGTTTTTGTTTTCAGGACTAAGTACTCCCTTGAAATTTGTGTATATTATTTCAGTTTGTGTTTTTATATTTTAATGCACATATATATAAATTATTTTTTCTGATTTTAAAATTATGTATAAATGTTAAACTGTGATAAGTATCTTTATGCAACTTGCTTTCTTTCATCTAAACTATGGTTTTCGGCTCTATCAAAGTTAGTATATATGATCAACTTCATTTAGTTTTAACTCATGTTTACAAGGTCCAAAATCACTTACAATTCTGACACCTCAAAAGCTCTAAATCCAAAAGTTTGCTATTGTGTTGTTTGTCAATTTGATAACAAAACTAATTTTTTAACAAAACTCCTGAATTTACATTGATGTAATTTATTACCTTTATCAATAGCTATATATTTTACTGTATATTAATGAGCTTGAATATAGAGAGCTATTCCAGATTCTGCTTGAGGTCTCAGTGAATATTTAATATATACAGTTAATCACTTTCCTACAATGAAAAATTTCTGAATTTGAAGGAACTTCTAACCCCAAGGGTAGACTGAAAAAAATAGCCTCAATAATTTGCAACTTCTCATATGAGAAGGTAGTGTGTATTTATCCACAACTTTAGTCTGGATTGGCTATTTGATTGCTTTGGCCAGTAGCAGGTTAGTGATGGATCACAAGCAGAAGCTTGAAAGGTGACCCCATATCAGATCTTGATTAGTTGCTGTTCATAGAAATCCTGTGACTACCACCATGACAAAAAGCCTGGCCTTGCCTGATTGCTGATCAGAGACACAAGGCTCTGCTATTCCCTCTCCCCAGCCAGCAGCCTGCCAACTTCCAGACTTGTGAATGAGGCCACATACCAACAGCTGCCTGCAGATGCATGGTTGAGCCCAGCCACGACCAAAAGAAGTTTTCAGGTGAACCCAGTTTAAATTGCCTACCCACAGAAACATGAATTAAATAAATAGGCATTGTTTTCAATGATTAAATTTTAAGCCTGTATTATTATGCAGCAAAAGCTAATACAGATAAGAAACTATGAACCTGTATTCCATCAGATCCATATATGACTATGTAGGTATTTATTTCCTTATTGATAGATATTTAGGCTGTGTCCAATTTGCATGCAATAAGCATGACTCCTTTGAGTACATGAATAAGAACTTCTCTGAAGTATATGCTTAGAAAGAAAACTGAGAAGTTCTAAGAAAATTTCAATTTCACTATATAAACCTACATTGGTTCCCATAATTTCATTACATTAGCACCAATAATGTATAAAATTTCTATTTCTTCAAGCTTTCCAATTTTAACCTGTTTTTCTTCCTACTTATGAGTCCTTGAAAATGAATATTTCAACAGTGTTTTAATTTTCATTTCTCTGATTACTGGTAAATTGGAATATATTTTTATATACTTTCACTTTATGAACTTATACATTTTCTTCTCTCCGAAATGTTAGCATGAAGAGTCCATGTTTCTATTTGTAGAAGGTGTTTTACACATGTTACATATTTACTTAAATATATTAAAAATAACTTTTGTTAGACCAATAGTTCTCAACCTTGGTAATATTAATACAATAGATTAATTTAGGAAACTTTAAAAGCTACCAATGCTCAAGGCTGTTGATCTCACATAATAATCACAATCTTTTTATATTTCTTGCACAGGCCTTTACTGCCCTGTTTTTTATAAATTTCCTCTTGGCTTTGGACATTGCCACCAAAATGTTGCTTTTGAGCTCCCTTTTACCACCCACCTCCATCTTCTTTTAAGCTTGGAGTAAGTCTAAAGCATTGGCCAAGATTACTGGTATATGTTTTTTTCTACTTTTGGTCTACGTAAGTGTTTAACTTGTTGTATTATTGGTTTTTGTTTAGACCACTAATCCTTTTTATTGTTTATATGCTTTACATTTCACTGTTTTTTTTTCTCTGATGTTTTATGGAGAGATACTAAAATAACTGCAGGATGCTATGTTGACTGGGTCCTCTTCATTGTTAAACACAACTGCCTAGATAATTAAAATCAGTAATGATTTTCAATCCTTATTTATTATTCAGTCAATGAGGTAATAAATACTTTTTTTTTCCTATATATTGTGTACTCTACTAGGCACTAGTTGTAGGATGATAAAATCACCATCTTGCCTCCCACCAACTCCCACCAAAAAAAGAAAAGAAAAGAAAACCAAAGAACAAAATGTCTGTGGTGTAGCTCACAATCTGGTGGGAGAGCCAGCTATCAAATAATTTCATAAAATGTAAAATTACAACGGTGATAAATATTAAGAAGTGAACATCGTTGAAGCTGTAATAATACATTTAGATAGTTGAATTAACATCTTATGTTAGGTAAATCTTTTCTGAGTTATTGGTAGTTGACCTGAGATAAAAAATTGCATAGTGCAAGGAGTTAGTCAGCAAGATTTCGATTAAAAAATACCCCAGGATCACTCCGTCCTACAAAAATACAATTAGAAACTATTCAAAGATAAGACTACCACAGGAATTCACTAGAATTTGGGGAGAAGTGAAGAAACCCACTGGGCCCACAGAATCAAGAGAAGCCATGAGAAGTAAGAGAAATGGTTACTTTAGACTGTGTCACCCTTCCTCGAAACTAGCATAATTCCACTCACAGATTTTCCTAGACTCATAGTTTCTAAGCAAGAGGAGAGAATTAGATGTGGATGTTTAATCTCCCCTCTGTTCTTGGAATGTTCACAGGAAGGCTACTTCAGTCCTATTCCATTTGAACCATTGAAAGTGCCAGGAGGGCTGAACCAAGTGGAGTGAATTGGGGACGAAGAGTGGGGTGCTGAGCTCACTGACTGTCACGAAGATATTGATGGCTACTTGCACTCTAATCAATGGAGATACAACTCTTTGAAGAGATTGGCCAGTGCTATAGCACTCCAGGGGCACAATCCATGAAAATACCTAATAGGATTTTCCACAATTCCCAGGTGCTCATATGGAGCCTTCCTCAGGCCTGGAAACAACTAAAAGGTCAGAATAAAGTTCTAGTGTCCACTAAGTCTTCCCAAGACTGGAAACAATGGCAGGGCAGCAATATAGTTCTAAGACGACATTTAGGTTCTGGTGCTCACTTTAAGTCTTCCCCAGAATGGGAAACAACAGAGGCGCAGTAATTTTGTTCTGGAGAAATATTGAAGTTCCAGAGTTCACTATAAGTCTTCCTCATATTAGAAAACAACATCAGGGCAGCAAGTTAGTTCCAGTGTAGTAGGTTTAGTTCCAGCACTCACTGTAAGTCCTGCCCATAACATGAAGCAAGAACAGATGAGTGTTTAAGTTCTCATACTAAGCAGTAAAGCTCTAACACCACCCAAGAACACTTTCAAAAACTGAGAAAAGTGGCTCTTTCCTCGAATGCATAGGCATTAATGTAAAAATTCAAGGATTATGAAAACTCAGAGAAATATTATACCACTGAAAGAAACCAGCAAAGTTCTAGCAATAGACCCAGAAGAATTGAAGATGCATGAAATATCTGACAGAAAATTCAGAATAATCCTCTTATAGAAGATTGAGAAATCACAGGAAATAGAGTTAGAAAACAAAATAAAATTTAGACTACAATTCAGGAGCAAAATGAAAACTTTGATAAAGAAATATAAACAATTTTCAAAAAAACAAATAGAAACCATAAAAATAAAGAATAAAATAACTGAACTGAAAAACTCATTAGAAAGCTTCAATAGCACACTTGGTTAAACAAAGGAAAGAATTGGCAACTTTGAATCAGAACATATAAAATTAATCAACCATAGAAGTGAAAAGAAGGCTGGGCATGGTGACTCACACTTGTAATCCCAGCACTTTGGGAGGTCAAGGCGGTGGATCATGAGGTCAGGAGATCAAGACCAACCTGGCCAAGATGGTGAAACCCCGTCTCTACTAAAAATACAAATATTAGCCAGACATGGTGGAGACTGCCTGTAATCCCAGCTACTTGGGTGGCTGAGGCAGAGAATTGCTTGAACCCGGAAGGTGGAGGTTGCAGTGAGCCGAGATCATTCATGCCACTGCACTCCAGCCTGGGTGACAGAGAGAGACTCCATCAAAAGAAAAGAAAAGAATTTTAAAAAGTGAAGGCCTACAAGAATTATGGGACATTGTCAAGCAAATTAACCTCTGTGTAATAGTAATTTTCACAGAAGATGAGAGCAAAAATGGCCTAGAAAGCATATTTAAGGAAATAGTGCAGAAAATTTCCCAAATCTAGAGAAATACAGCAGCATACAAGTACAGAAATCTCCTAGGTCATCTATCAAATTCAACTCAAAGAATAATTCTCCAAGACACATCATAATCAAAGTAGCAAAATTTGAAGACAAAGAATGAATACTCAAAAGGGCAAGAGAAAAGAAACATGGCATTCAACAGAGGACCAATATGGCTTTCAGTGGATTTCTTACCAGACACTTTGCTGACCAGGAGAGAGAGGATTGCCATATTTAAAGGGCTTAAGGAAAATAACTGCCAACAAAGAATAATCTGCCCAAAAAACCAATTCTTCAAATATGAAGGAGAGCTAAAAATTTCCTCAGAAAAACAAAAGCTGAGGGAACTCATCAGCACCAACACTGTCTTGCAAGCAATGCTAATGTGAGTTCGTCATTCTGAAAGAAATGAACACTGAAGTGTAACAAGAAAATATCTGAAGGTATAAAACTCACTGGTAAAAGAAAGAAAACAGATAACTTTGTAAAACTCTAATACTGTAATTGGGATAAGTGAATCACTTATATCTTAAATATAAAGACTAAAATACAAAATTATTTAAAGCAATAATAACCACATTGTTTAAGAAATAGGCAATATAAAAATGTAAATAAAAACATCAAAAAGGCAAAAAGTGGGGATAAACTAGTGTTAAAGCACAGAATTTGTTTGTGTTACTTTTCTTTGCAATCAAAGTTATTTTCAGTTTAAAATATCTTGTTATAACTATGTACATTTTTTGTAACCATATAATAACCATGAAGCAAAAATATATAATAGATACAAAAAAATGGCATGTAATCAAAACATACTACTACAGAAAATTACTTAACCACAAAGGAATACAGTAAGAAAGGGAAAAAGAAGAAAGGATCCACAAAGCAACCAGAAAACAAGTAACACAATGGCAGTAGTAAATCCTTACCTATCAAAAATAACTTTGGATATAAATGAAATAAATAATTCAATTAAAAGATAGACGATGGCTGAAGGGATTTTTAAAAAAAGCAAGGCCCAAGTATGTGCTTTCTTCAAGAAACTCACGTCACCTATGAAGACACGTACAGATTGAAAGTGAAGAGATGGAAAAAGATAGCCATGTAAATGAAAAACAAAATGAGCAGAAGTAGCTATACTTATATCAGATAAAATAGGCTTTAATTCAAGAATTAAAAAAAGGACAAATAAGGCCATTATATAATAACAGATCAATACAGCAAGAGAATGTAACAATTGCAAATATATATATATACACACACACACACACACACACATACACCTGATATCAATACACCCAAATACATAAAACAAATATTAATACACCTAAAGGGAGAAAATGGCTGCAGTATAATAGTAGGGAACTTCAAAATCCCATTTTCAGCAATGGACAGATCATTTAAACAGAAAATCAACAATGAATCATTGGACTCTATACTACTGTACTCTATACCAAATGGACCTAACAGACATTTATAGAACATTCCATCCAATAGCTGCAGAACAAACATTTTCCTCCATGTCACGATGAAACCTTTCCAGGAATAGACCATATGTTTGTCCTCAAAACATGTCTTAATGAATTTTGAAAAAACAAAATAATATCATGTATTTTTCTGACAACAATGAAATAAAACTGGAAATCAATTTAAAAAGTTAGAAATTGTATAAATTCATAGTTATTAAACAACTTACTCCTGAACAACAAATGGGTTAATAAAGACATTTTAAAATATTTTAAAAAATTTCTCGAGACAAGAGAAAATGGACACAAAAGCTACTGAAACCTATAGGATACAGAAAAAACAGATGTAAAAGGGAAGTTTAAGCAATAAATGCCTATATTAAAAATTAGACTTCTAACAAAAAGCCTAATAATGCACTTCAAAAAACTAGAAAAGCAAGAACAAATCAAACCCAATATTAATGGAAGAAAAGAATAAAGATCAGAGCAGAAATGAATAAAATTAAGTCTAAAAAATACAAAGATCACCAAAACAAAAAGTCGTTTCCTTAAAAAGAGACAAAATTGACAAAACATTAGCTAGACTCAAAGAAAAGAGAGAAGACCCAAATAAATAAAATTAGAAATATAAAAGGATACATTACAATGAAACAACAGATATACAAAGATCATTAGAGATTATTATAAACTATACACCCACAAATTAGAAAAACCTAGAAGAAATGGATAAATTCCTGAATACATAGAACCTACCAAGTTTGAACCATAAAGAAATAGAAAACCTGAACAGACCAATAATTATAATAAGTTTGAAGAAGTTATAAAATCTCCCATCAAAGAAAAGCCTAGGGAAAGACCAGACAATTTTACTAATTAATTCTATTTAACATTTAAAGAAGAACTAATACCAATTCTACTCAAACTATTCAAAAAATTGAAGAGAAGGGACTACTTTGAAGTTCTTTCTATGAGGCTAGCATTACTCTGATACCAAAACAAGACAAGGATGAATTTAAAAAAAAAAAGAAAACTACAAATATCCCTGATGAACATAAAAGCAAAATTTCTCAGCAATATATTAGCAAACAAAATTCAACACAACGTTAAAAATATCATTCATCATGATCAAGTGGGATTCATCCCAGGAATACAAGGATGGTACAGCATATGCAGTCAATAAGCATGATATATCACATTATCAGAATCAGAAGAAAAACCATATAATTATTTCAACATATGCTAAGAAAGCACTCAATACAATTTAACATCCCTTCATGATAAAAACTCTCAACAAACTCGGCATAGTAAGAATGTACCGCAAAATAATAAGGCCATATGTGACGAACTCACAGCTAGTAATGCACTAAATGAGAAGAAATTAAAATTATTTCCTTTAAATTCTGGAACAAGAGAAGGTTGCACACTCTCACCATTTTTGTTCAACACAGTACTGGCAGGCCTACCCAGAGAAAATAGGCAAGCAATGGAAATAAAGGACATCCAAATTGCAAAGGAAGTCAGATTATTCTTGTTCACAGATGTCATGAGCCTATATTTAGAAAAATCTAAAGATGCCACCAAAAACCTGTTAAAACTGATAAATGAATTCAGTACATTTGTGGGATACAAAGTCAACATACAAAAACCAGTAGCATGTCTATACACCAACAACAATCCGCAAAATGAATCAAGAAAATAATCTCACTTACAATAGGTACCAAAAATACCTAGGAATTTATTCAACTAAAAATGTGAAAGATCTCTACAATGAAAATTATAGAACACTGATGAAAAATTGAAAAGGACATGAAACAATTGAAAGATATCCTATGCTCATGGATTGGAAGAGTTAATATTTTTTAAATGTTCACACTATCCAGAGCAATCTGCAAACTCAATGCAGTGTCTGTCAGAAGACCAATAACAATCTTAATAAATGTAGAAAAAAACAAACAGAAAATTCATATAGAAACGCAAAAGACCCAGAATAGCCAAAGCAATCCTGAGAAAAATGAACAAAGCTGGAGGTATCACATTTTAGCTTCAAAATACACTAAAAAGCTATAGTAACCAGAACAGTATGATACTGTTATAAAAGCAGATATATAGACCAAAGGAACAAAATAGAGACTCCAGAACTAAATCCATGTATTTATGGCCAATTCATTTTCAACAAAGGTGCAAACAACATACACTGGAAAAATGGCAATCTAATCCATACATGATGCTGGGAAACCTGACTATCCATATGCAGAAGAATGAAACTAGGCCCATATTTCTCAAAATATACCAAAAAATCACATCAAAATTCATTAAAGACTTAAACGTAAGACTTGAAGCTATGAAACTACTAGATAAAAACTTTGGAGAAATGCTTATGGACATGGTTCTGGTCAAAGATTTTTTTTTCAGTAAGAACTTAAAAGCACAGACAACAAAAGTAAATATATACAAATAAGACTACATCAAGATAAAATGCTTCTGCACAGGAGGGAGGGCGGGAGGGAGGGAGGGAGGGAGGCAAGCAGGCAGGCAGGCAGGCAGTCCGGAGTGAGGAACAACCTAGAGCATGTAGAGAATGGGAGAAAATATTTGCAAACTATCCATTGGCAAGGCATTAGTAACCAGAATATACAAGAAACTCAACTCCAAAACAAAACAAAAAAAACCCAAATAATTTGATTTTAAAATGGGCAAATGATCTGAATTGACATTTCTCAAAAGAAGACACACAAATGACCAACAAGAACATAACATTTAACAATGCTCAACATCACTAATCATCAGGGAAATGCAAATCAAAATCAGTGACATATCTTCTCACTCCAGTTAAAATGGTATCAAAATGAAAGAAAATAACAGTTGGTGATGGGGATGCAGACAGGGGGAACACTCTTACACTGTTGGCAGGAATGTAAATTAATACAGTCACTATATAAAACAGTATGGAGGTTACTCAAAGAACTAGAAATATACCTACCATATGATCTAGCAATCACATTGCTGGGTATATACTCAAAAGAAAGAAAATCAGTATTTGAAAAGATATCTGCACTGTTATGTTTCTTGCAGTAGTATTCACAATAGCCAAAATATGAAATCAACCTAACTGTCCATCAGTGAATAAATGGACAAAGAAAATATGGTACATATACATAATGGAATGTTATTTCACCATAAGAAAAGAAATGAAATTCTGTCATTTGCAACAACATGGGTGGGACTAGAGCACATTTTGTTAAGTGAAATAAACCAAGCACAGAAAGACAAATTTTGCATGCTCTCACTCATATGTGAGAGCTAAAAAAGTTGACCTCATGGAGGTAGAAAGTAGAATGAAGGTTATCAGAGGCTGAGAAAAGTGAGGACAGGGAGATAAACAGAGGTTGGTTAATTGGTCCAAAAATACAGTTAGAAGAAATACACTCTAGTGTTCAATAGCACAGTAGCATGACTACACTTAACAATAATTTACTGTATATTTCAAAATAGCTAGAAGAGAAGATCTGGAATGTTACTAACACAAAGAAATGATAAATGTTTGAGGTGATAGATACTCCAATTACCCTGATTCATTACACATTGTATGTCTATATCTATATCAAATTGCACGAAACAGCTAAGTTTCTCTTTATTTTTTGCAGTTTTTAAAAGATGGTGTGGTACTGTGAAAAGGAACATGCTATTTAAATAATCAAAGAATTTTCCAATATTAAAAAATTGACTTCCAATTACATCACCAATGATGAAGATAATCAGCTATCTTTTATTTAGTAACTTTAGCAGAATCCAAACATCTCATAATATATTGTTTCCTGATCACAAAGCAATTATATAACAGACATGAACCTTAATTTTCAAGAGAATCCCAGGTATACTGCTCCAATAGGTGTATCATTCCATCTGAAAGTACTTGTGACCTATGCTTTTGAAGAAATGCTAGCTTGTTTATACCTCTGACTTTGACTTAGCTTTATCATCTAAAACTATCTCCTGCATTTTTATCTAATAGGAATGATAGTTTTTTGTATTATTATACTTTAAGTTCTGGGATACATGTGCAGAACATGCAGGTTTGTTACATAGGTATACACGTGCCATGGTGGTTTGCTGCATCCATCAACCTCTCATCTACATTAGGTATTTCTCCTAATGCTATCCCTCCCATAGCCCCCAATGCCCTGACAGGCCCTGGTATGTGATATTCCCCTCCGTGTGTCCAGAAGCAAGAGTAAACAAATTAAAAAAACTAGCTGAAGACAAGATATAACTAAGATCAGAGCAGAACTGAAGGAGAGAGAGACACGAAAATCCCTTCAAAAAAAATCAGTGAATCCAGGAGCTGGTTTTTGAAAAGATTAACAAAATAGATAGATAGACCGCTAGCCAGACTAATAAAGAAGAAAAGAGAGAAGAATGAAATAGACACAGTAAAAAATGATAAAGGGGATATCACCGCTGATCCCACAGAAATGCACACTACCATCAGAGAGTACTATAAACACCTGTATGCAAATAAACTAGAAAATCTAGAAGAAATGGATAAATTCCTGGACACATACACCCTCACAAGGCTAAACCAGGAAGAAGTTGAGTCCCTGAATAGACCATTAACAAGTTCTGAAATTGAGGCACTAATTAATAGACTACCAACCAAAAAAAGCCCAGGACCAGACGGATTCACAGCCGAACTCTACCAGAGGTACAAAGAGGAGCAGGTATCAGACATTTTTTTATTTTTTATTTTATTCTATTTTATTTTATTTTTTTTGAGATGGAGTTTTGTTCTTGTTGCCCAGGCTGGAGTGCAATGGCGTGATCTTGCCTAACTGCAACCTCTGCCTCCCAGGTTCAAGCGATTCTCCTGCCTCAGCCTCCTAAGTAGCTAGGATTACAGGCATGCATCACCACACCCAGCTAATTTTGTATTTTTAGTAGAGATGGTATTTCTCCATGTTGGTCAGGCGGGTCTCCAACTCCTGACCTCAGGTGATCCATCTGCCTTGGCCTCCCAAAATGCTGGGATTACAGGCATGAGCCACTGCGCCTGGTGGAATGATAGATTTTTTTGACAAGGCCTTTTAAGTGCTCTTAGTACCAAATAAGCACTTTATTATTGAGACTCAATAATTGGGAAAAATTGTTTGAATGTTTAAAATTTTCTAGTACAACTCCTTAATGAAGATTCTCTTATAAATACATAATTAGAGATGCAGCCTATTTGAAAAAAATATATTAAATTACATCAAAGTTACAATAAGAAAAAATAATGATAATTTAATAGCAGACAGTAGAGATGATGTCACTTTTCTACAATAATATTTGGAATCCAAAACAAGTGGTAATTATCACTGGGTTACTTTTTTGTTGCAGTTACTTAGTTCATCTATCAATAAGGGCAAAACACAAGGTTTTTTCAAATCTCACACAGAAAATTCTGTGCCTGTTAGTCTGGCACAATAGGAATATTCATTCCCCAAAATTATGCAAAATGTAGAATACTCGATCATACGAATACATCTCTTTTATAGTTAAAAACAAATCATTTGTAAGAAATGTCAGGAGAGTATAACATTCACATTTATCATGCAGATGCTGGCAACTTGCCAATATCCTATAAACATAACCCCAAATAAACTAACTTTGGGGGAAAGTTTCCTTATTTGTCCCAGAAGCTGGAAGAACTGGAGATAGTTAACTTGATGCTGTATTGAAAAGAAAAACTAAGAAAATAAACACACTGGAAAGCAATAGAGAATATATGAGAAAATGAGAATTATAAAGGCAATTCAGTAGTCAAAAATTATAGACTTTGGTCTTTAAAGTGCAAGAGTGCAAGTGCATTTAGTGCTTGATTACACCCAGAAAATTCCAATCAGTCATTGGTTTCTCCTGTATACCCAGTCAACAGTGAGTATAACTTCAACTACATCCACACTTTTAGACAATAACAATTTCTTTTCACCTATATATGCATAATTATGTAACTTTCATAAATACTTTAATGTCAATAAACTTAATGATTTCTTAATATAATAATCTTTTAATTTTCCTTCTTATTCCTCCATTGCACAAATGAGGAATTTTGATTCATTCAGCATTTTGAGATGTTCCAAAGCATTAAGACAATTAATATTCAGATGAGCAATATAAAAAAAGTCCTCTACTCCATGGAAAATATTCTGTCTTTGCAGTCATTCAGATCACATTCTCAAAGCAAGAATGTCTTTATTTGTAGTGGATTATTTCTTTCCTTTTGTCTTTGTTTTGCTCTCTTATAAGTTGGAGAAAATGAAATTAGTCATAGTCTAAAATGATTTTTTTGAATTATGGTGAAAATTGAGAAGGCCTGAGTGCTTACCTACCTACCAAAATATTTGTTTTGCATAGATGTTCTAACATAATACACAAAAAGATCTATACCTCATGTTAATTTGCCATTCATAATCATACATAACATAACGGAAGTATAGAAAAATCAACCTGACTCCATTAAAATATAACCTTATATGCTATTATATTAAACCAGGTTTACTTCTCTAGCAACAGTTGCATAATTATTTATACTGTCATACATGATTATAGTAACCAGATAGCATAGTTTGCCCATTATTATTTACCCCTTTTTACTCAAAATATTCTGGTTTGGAAAATTCTTTTAAAAACTCTCAAATTTCTAACAAAACAATGAATGATTCTGCTGGGGGATGCTTCAGCCAGAGATTTGGCAAGAATCTCATTGAACTATAAACTATAAATACCACAGGAGCACTTAACTCTTCATGTCAAGGGACTAGCAGATAGAAAAGTCATCATTCTGAAGTGATTTACTGACGCTGATCATTGGAGAAAGTTTGGCTACTATTACACAATGGGAGCATGAAAGAACATGTTTCACACTCAAGTGAACCACTTAGGTGCCACTTTTTACTCCCTTGGCCAAATTACTCCACTGCCCAATCTTGTTCCCTTTCCTTACTTTCCACAGATATTTCCCCTGAGAGCTCTGCATCACAAATTTCCTATTGGCTAAAAAGCAAATGAGGCAAAAAAACAATCAACTGTGAAAAATGGAGGAGAATTTACAGTATATATGTCAACTCTTTATGATTAAAAATAAGTTTATACATTGTTTTTATTCTACATACATGCTGTATATAATCGTTTAGTATCTTCATTTATTTTATATTTTTGTATATCAGAGACAGGAAAGTTAAACATCCTTTCCCCAGAATCCATTATTGCTAAAGTTCTGCATATTGTATAATTTTCCTTAATGGTGGGAAAACCAAATGGGAAGCCTGTCTTCCAATGAAGAGGTCATTTTCCAGAGACTATGTCTGCGGTTGAGCAAGGCTCAAGACATTTCAAGCCAAACCGAAAGAGCTCTGCAAGTTCACTTCCTCCTGACTAGAGTAGAAGTAACCTAGGTAACCTATTAACAGGTGCTTCTTAATGCCTGTGCCTCATGTAGCCCAGAAAAACAACTGTGAATAGATTAAGATAGCACCCTTAATTATGAGCTGTTTTAATACTGTAGACTTGGGTTTTTCATATTTCAGTCTTTAGGGTTTTTTTTAACAGAGTTATTTGCATTTATTTTTTTTCAATTTAAAAATTGAGACTTATAAAACATCAATAAAAGAGTTTGTTTTATTTTTCAAATTGCATCCAGAAAATGAAAGGCTGATTTTTTTTTCTCATTGCCTGAATAAGCAAAGGGAGCCACCACAATTGGTTTGAGCCATATAAAGCAATCCAAGACATCTTTAGAACATAAATTCCCAATCCCTGTGCCAAGTTCTCATCACCAAACTCTACAAAAATTTCCAGCAGACTTGTTATATGAAATTTTAAGAGCTTAAATTAACTAGTTTCTATTTTATGTATAAGATATGCTATTTAGAGGACTAGCACACACTTTATATATACATATAACTTAGGTTTTAAAATATGTATTTCTTGAAGAGCTTCTGTGACACATCCGACTATTTAAAAATAGCTCATATAACATTATTTCTTCTGCTAGGAGTCATTTGCTCAGTAGGATAATTCTAACACTTTAGGTTGAAGTATATGGTTCTTTGGGTAATGTGTATGATATTATAGTTCTGCACATATTTTAACAAACACTATACATTTGAAACAGATCTGTATATAGGGAGTACATATTTTAGGAAAATGATATACAGTTTCAAATAATAAGCTTTCCAGTTATAAAAATCTATGAATTTCATCACCTTTATGCCATCTAACTCACATAAAACTCCATACTGTAATTCCTCAATTTAACCTCTTGTACAGAAATCTTCCCTACCTCTCTCCACACTCATCCCTGACCTTCTTTTGGCTTCTGGTTTAATCTGAAGATAACAAAACAAAGCAAGTTTATACAAATTTTGGGAAAAGATAAAACTCCTTAGAATTAATGGAGTTTGTGAAAGCAAATGATTTCTGAAGCTCCACATGGAAAGCACTTTAATACAACTTGATATCAATTACAAAATATCATTGCTGAGATGAATATTGATCTTGAGTCATAAATTCTTGGTAAATAGTTTCGCAAGAAGATTTTCCTTTTTATAGCTAATTTTAGGGTGGTGTTTTTAAAGTCTCATTTTTTGAAAATTTTACATGCCAAAGGGAAACTTAGTTTTCTAGCAAAGCCATGCAAGCTGTAGACAAGAATGTGATAACTTACTAGGGCTGTCCCAAACCAATTTGTTATATAATAGAAAAAGTATAAGAAAAGCCTATATACAGGGAGTTAGAAATTCCAATTATTGTAATTCCTGCTATGGCTTGAATATGCACCCCAAATTTCATGTGTGGGAAACTTAATCCCCATTATAATGATGTTAAAAGGTGAGGCCTTTAGGAGATAATTAGGGTTAGATAAAGTCATCAAGGTGGGGCTCCCATGATGGGACTGATGGCTTTATAAGTAAAGGAAGAGAAAACTGAAGTGGCAGCCTCCTGCCTTCTCACCCTGTGATGCCTCTCATCATGTTATGACACAGCACAAGACCCTTACCGGAAGCCTACCAGATGTGGCTGCCTGATCTTGGATTTTCCAGCCCCTAGAACTATAAGAAAAAAAAAATACTCTTCTCTTATAAATTACCCTATCTCAGGTATTCTGCTATAGCAACAGAAAATAGACTAAGACATCTCCTAAAACTAACAGCTATCTGCAGTAAGTTCTGTTTGAGAGTAATTCTCAAGGCCTTAACAACACTGTATGTCATAGTTTATTCAGATTTCACATCTGTTTTATATAACTCCCTAAGTCTTCAAATTCCTTTTTATCTTGTGTTATATCAGTCCACACTGGGGAAAAGAAACCACTCTAGGTATTTCCAGTGAAAAAATAGTTAATAGATGAATTGGCTATAAAAGTGTTAGGAGGTTTAGAGAGTGAAATAGAAAGTAGTGTTACTCACAGCTCTTTTTGTGGCTTCCTTGCCATCAGAGTGGCTTCCTAGCAGGCAGCTATGAGTGCACACCATGATACTGCAGGAGCCTGAAGTCCACTCTCCCACAGATGCTGCTGGCTTTCCCCATTGTTGGAGCAAATGGCTACCTCCAGTATTCTGCTATGCAGAAACAATATGGCCTATACTTTTTATAAAATTTCAGTCCAAAACAAGTGCCTTCTTTTGGCAGAATCTAACCAGCAAACAGTTCACAAGGGAGTCCAAGAAATATAATTTAAAATTCTAGCCCCTCATAACACAAGGAGAGTATGAGATTGAACTCAGATAAATATTTGGCACATTTATTTATGCAGTATTTCTAAAGAGATACTGTGCAATTATGTTTTCAGGTTTATTTTGGAGGATATATATATATATTTGAGACACAGTCTCACTCTGTCACCCAGGCTGGAGTGCAATGGTGCAATCTCAGTTCACTGCAACCTCTGCCTCCCGGGTTCAAGCAATTCTCCTGCCTCAGCCTCCCGAGTAGCTGGGATTACAGGCACCCGCCACCATCCCAGCTATTTTTTGTATTTTTAGTAGAGATGGGGTTTCACCATGTTGACCAGGCTGGTCTTGAACTCCTGACCTCAGGTGATCCACCGGCCTTGGCCTCCCAAAGTGCTGGGGATATAGGCGTGAGCCACCAGTACCGGCCTGGAAAAAATATTAAGATATGTAGGCATGTTATATAACATGAGAAGTGTGTGCTACACTAGCATGGTTATCAGAAGCAGCATTCTGAGAAGAGTAGGGTTAGATTGTTGTTGATGAACCCCCAGGCCCTTTCACCAGCTTGTATTTTACACTGGAATAATTTTACACATTTAAAACAGCAAATGATGCCATGAGCAAATATAGGTCTAGTAATAAGCATTCAACTGATCTTTAGATATCTCATCACTATTTGGTTTGAGGCTGCCACAGGCACAAATAGGACCTGTAATACAAACTACTGATGGCTACTTCCATTAAGGTCTTATATTAAAAATAGCTTTTTGATCCTTGTTTGTGCTTTACACTGTAGTAGTTTCTAAAGCATGTAAACACTTACATATGACGAAATGGTCACTAGATTCATGAATTTCCAAATAAACTACTTCAAATAATATTTACATATTTAGGTAGACAACTTGTGTATGTGCAAAAGTAAGCATGTGTGTATATAAATATAAATATGTTGCAAGGATGTTTACACATACATATATGTGTGTCTGTCTACACATACCCAAATACTTAGGCATATTAAAGTCAAGGTTACAATGTTAAAAGAACAGTATCCCAGAGAGAATATTGTTCAAAGAGAAATCTACTCTATACGCACTTTTCCTTGCTTTACTCAATTGGCTAGGACATTTAGACTTTTTCCAGACTCACTAATTTACTTTAGAGAAAATGATCCTAACATTGTGACTCTAAGTATAATATTTCTCATATATTTCATTCTATCGAGTTTGGACATGATTTTCTTTTTCTGGCTTACTAGGTTATATCAAATATATTTTTATCTTTTATTGAATTTTTTGTGTGTACTTTAATTTATTAATATAATTAAGTTTACCATATTGCCTAGTGCTAAATCTCCTTGCATTTCTGGAATAACTACGTAGGTATGTTGTACTAGTCCTCTAGTCCTCTGCTAGATTGCATAAACAACTGTGTATTTGGAATATTTGTAATTATTTTGAATTAATTTGGGATATTATATTTCTAACATTCTTGTTTTATTGTGAGGAGTTAAGGATATTACACTGATTGATACAGCATGTTGAGAAACTCTGTTTTCTTTGTTTTGGAAAAAAAATATATCCATAGAAACCATGTTACTTGATGTTGCCTGGGTCTAGCAACTTTAAGGGCAAAACTAGGGATGGTGTATTAGATTTGGCTACCATTTATGTTTTTTTTTGAACTAGCAGAGAATTCACGTTTTATGCTGTTTTACTAATCAAGTTTGGACATATTCATTTTATGAGATTTAGTGAATCGTTCACAAAATAACAAATTTTAATGTAATTTAATAAGATATTTAAATTATCCACATATGTGGTTCTAACCCTCTTCTAACACTTAATATAGTTTCTTAACATCTGTTGCCTCATGCTAGGGACTGAATTGTGTCTCCTTCCCCCAAAAAATTCACATGTTGAAGTCCCAACCCCCTAGTACTTAATAGTATAACTATATTTGCATATTGTCACTTTAAAGAAGGAATTAAGTTAAAATGTGTATATTAGTCCATTCTCACACTGCTATAAAGAACTACTTGAGACTGGGTAATTTATGAAGAAAAGAGGTTCAATTGACTCACAGTCCTGACTTACAATCATGGTAGAAGGCAATGGGGAAACAAGCATGTCTTACCATGACAGAGCAGGAGACAGAGTGAAAGGGGAAGTGCCAAACACTTTTAAACCATCAGATCTTGTGAGAACTCATTCACTATCATGAGAAGAGCAAGGCAGAAGTCCCCCCAATGATTCAATCACCTCTCAACAGGCCCCTCCTCCAACACATGGGGATTACAATTTGACATGAGATTTGGGAGGGGACACAGAGCCAAACCATATCAATGAGGCCATTCAGGTGGACCATAATCCAATCTGACTGGAATCCTTGTGAAAACAGAAGATTAGTATATACAGGAGGAGGCACCAGGAATATGGGCACACAGAGAAAAGGCCATGTGAGGACGCAGTGAGAAGACAGCCATCTGCAAAGCAAGAATAGGAGCCTCAGGAGAAACCAAAACTACTAACACATTGATCTTGAACTTCCAGACTCCAGAACTGTGAGAAAACAAATTTCTATTGTTTAAGCCCCCGAGTCTGTGATATTCTGTTATGGCAGTCCTAGCAAGCTAATACACCTATATTGATCAGACATACCAAAGCCTTGTTATTTTATTGTTCCTTTCCCTAAAGCCAACTTTTAGTTTTATTTATAAAATCTATTTTTACATTTTTAATCTTTAGTTAGTTTTCTTGTTTTTATTGTTTCTTGTATTTTAAATTTTATTTCATCTACCTTAGCTCCTCAAAGTGAACTTTTTTTTTTTTGAAAAACTCATATTTTCAAAAATATGTACCAAGGCTCATTCCTTCAGTTTTTGTATGCAGTCAGTGTTTTCCATTCATTTCTAAAATCTGTAATTTCAGCAGAAATTGTTTTTACCTTTAGAGTTAACTTATAAGGGGCTTAGTTGGATAGAGGTGGATTTTGTTTGTTTTATTTCTTGTCATCTTTTTGAGATAATTTCTAGAGTATTACATTGCTTACTAAAACATATATTATTTCTAAGGAAATACTTTTATTGTAGCTAAAAACGTGGCTTATTTTGAAATGTTTTATGAGTGCCTTATTCATTCACTCATTCAGTCAGCAAACTGTTGTTGAGCAGTTTTTTTTTTGTGCCAAGCTCTGGGAAAGAAAGGGGATAGTACCATGGACATAAAACAAGGTCACAGTGATACAGCTCACATTTTGATTGTGGAAGACAGACAAATAAACCATTTGCAGTAAAATAAGCAAGCAATAAAATAAAATAATCTCAATTCATAACAAGCACTTAAAAAACAAGAGCTGAGCTAGAGAATAACAAAGAGGAGTCTACTTTAAGTAGGGTAGTCATGGAAGTCTTCCCCCAAAAGATGACACTGAAATGTTGAATTAGAGAAGAGCTAATCAGGAGAACAGTGTTGGTTGTATATGAGAGAAAACGGAGCTTCACAGGAAGCCCAAAGCCGGTTCCCTTTTCCCCGTATGGGAAAGTGAGGCTTACCACAAGGAAGCCTTTCTTCCAGTATTGGGGGTAGCTTATCTTTTACTCTAGGTATGATAATTTGCTTTCTGGTGGCCTAAGTAATCTGTGGCTCTCACTGTTCTTCCACTTTGGCCCCAGAGCCAACTCTGCAAGTCTCCTTGGTAATAACACCCTGGTTATTGGGAGAATTATATGCACAAATTTAATTGGAGAATGATGTAACAAATATTGAAGTTCTTCCACTTGTTCTACCCCTTTGGTCAGCCCACAGCACCTCTGATGATGTTCCACCAGGGAAATGCAGCTTTTTAGGAGGTTTCCATTTTCATTTTTATGAGGTAGCAGATTTCTCAGTTCTCTTGGGTTTCTCTCTCAAGTTGATAGCATCTGCTTTGTAACTTTCTGAATTCCCATCTATTCTAGCTTGCTGATGGCACCTTTCCAGCTTGCTGGTGCTATTTTTAATTTATTCTCAAATCACATTTTTTCCTGTACTTTCAGTGGGATTTGGGAAAGGAATAGAAATAAATCCTTGGGATCAGTCAACCTTGTTTATACTGGAAGTCCTAGAATTTATTTCCAAAGCATTACTTTTATTTATTTTTAAATGTTTTTTGCAATTTACAACTAATTGGATCTGTTAGTATGTAAGTTTATAAAAACCTTTGTGAATGCACATGACCTTCTTTCACAAATTGATATTTCTTTCTTTCTTTCCATTTTCCCTCATTTTTCTCTCTTTCTCCATGATATTATTATTTTTCTCTTCAGTTCTGAATAAGCGGTAATTCAGTTAATTAATAAATAAATGAATGAATAATGCAGGATTACTTGATACTTCATATAAACAAAATAAAAAGTAAGCAACATTTATTGTACCCCTACCAAATCTAGGCCACACACACACACACACACACACACACACACACACACACACAATTTAGTCTTATAATAGCTCCAAATACACTGATTTGCCTTCTTAAGATCTCAAAGTGAGCAGCTGGTCTAGCCAAGATTGGGACTGTGTTTATTGATTCAAAATACTTACTCATCTCAATCCCCAACAAAATCCAAAATCCATGGCAAATGAAAATGAATGATTTTGGATAAAATTATCAGTGTTAAATAATGGGTCTGCAAACTCCAAAACACTTTTGACTTGGAAAGACTACATTATATTTAGTAAGAATCAAAGAGGTAGGAGAATTAATAATTCCATAGTGGTATTTCTAACTAAACAAGGGTAGTTGTCACTTACTTCAATGAATATCACCCCACAACACCATTCCTGTACCATGGTAGCTTATGAGCGAACACAATGGCTCGAGCATTTGTTGCTATGAGAACATTGATTACATTTATTTGTTTTCTATTTCAAGCTGCAGATTTCTCACTTCAGTACTTTAAATAGTCACAAAAGAATAATAGTCTCGTTCATCACTCATCTTTCCCTTGGCGTGCTATAAAAAAGCATTTGGTCAAAGTAATATTTTATAAGCTTGTTAAATTGCTTAATTTTTAGCAATAAATTTTGCCCAAAATATGAAATGTTGCCAAGGCAACATAGCAATTTCTCCTGAACCAAAGTAACTGGGATGTGCTGAAAGGGTAATGTAAAAATAAAAATAATAAAATTAGTACAGGAAAACAAAACTGACCTCCTTCCTTGATTTACATTTCTAAAATACATTTGATCCAATAAGAATATTATTAAGTAGCACTAGAGAATTTCTAAACCTGATTTCCAAAATATCCTATGTGAATAAGTGATACACAAGTTAGGTAGGCACTTTGATAAAGGCAGTATCTTCTTGAGACCTGCTTTCTCCTACCTAACTGCTGCTCTAAAGCACCAAACCTCCCACAAGGCCCTGCATATAAAAACATTCATTTAGGGAAAAGAAACAAGAGAAATTCCAACTGGATTTTAAAAGGGATGGGTGCAGGATTACAAATTCAAGATAACTGACTTAAAACAAACATAAAAATGCAGAAATGACTGAAAAGGTAATGAAAAAACACAATCAATCCAGAGCCACTCTATAAACCAGATAGCATTGTCAGAATGAGACAGAAATAGAGGAATTTCTAGAAAATAAACAGCACATGCAAATGGATTCTCTATCTCTCTCTTTCTCTCTCTCTCTGACACACACACACACACACACACACACACACACACACACACCTGTGAGTTTCTTCCCAAGAATTTCCAATGAATTTTGACACTAAGATTCAATAAATAAAGGGAGAAGAATTATAGCAATAATCCTAGGAAACTGTAAAATGAACCCTGACAGGAATTCATTACACTATTTCTAATTTGTATAGATTAGAGCATTGAAAGAATAAATCATGAACATATTCATATGTATATAATTTACACATAGCACGTTTTGGTCCATTTTCATACTGCTATGAAGAAATACCCAAGAGGGGGTAATTTGTAAAGAAAAAAGAGGTTTAGCCAGGCACGGTGGCTCATGCCTGTAATCCCAGCACTTTGGGAGGCCAAGGCGGGCGGATCACATGAGGTCAGGAGTTCAAGATCAACCTGACCAACATGGAAAAACCCTGTCTCTACTAAAAATACAAAATTAGCCGGGTATGGTGGCACATGCCTGTAATCCCAGCTACTCGGGAGGCTGAGGCAGGAGAATCACTTGAACCTGGGAGGCAGAGTTTGCGGTGAGCCAAGATCATGCCATTGCATTCTAGCCTGAGCAACAAGAGCAAAAACTCTGTCTCAAAAAAAAACAAAAAAGAAAAAGAAAAAGAAAAAAGAGGTTTAACGGACTTGCAGTTCCACATGGCTGGGAGGCCTCACAATCATGGCAGAAGGCGAAGGAAGAGCAAAGGCACCATGTCTTACATGGCAGCAAAGAAGAGAGCATGTGCAGGGGAACTGCCCCTTATAAAACCATCAGATTTCATGAGACATTCACTATCAAGAGAACAGCATGGGAAAAACCCACTACCATGATTCAATTACCTCCCACCAGGTCCCTCTCATGACATGTGGGGATTATGGGAGCTACAATTCAAGATGAGATTTGGGTGATGAGACAGCAAAACCATATCATTCCACCCCTGGCCCCTTCCAAATCTCATGTCCTCACATTTCAAAACCAATTTTGCCTTCCCAACGTCCCCCAAAGTCTTAACTCATTTCAGCATTAACTCAAAAGTCCAGAGTCCAAGGTCTTATCTCAGACAAGGCAAGTCCCTTCCACCTATGATCATGTAAAATCAAAAGCAAGTTAGTTATTTCCCGTACACAATGGGGGTACAGGAAATGGGTAAATACACCCACTCCAAATTAGAGAAATTGGCCAAAACAAAGGAGCTACCAGCCCCATGTAAATCTGAAATCTAATAGGACAGTCATTAAACCTTACAGTTACAAAATGATCTGCTTTGAATCCATGTCTTATATCCAGGTCACGCTGATGAAAGAGATGGGCTCCCATGGCTTTAGGCAGCTCTGCCCCTGTGGCTTTGCAGGATACAGCCTTCCTCCCATCTGCTTTTACACATTGAGTGCCTGCAGCTTTTCCAGGTGCACAGTGCAAGCTGCTGGTGGATCTACCATTCTGGGGTCTGGAGGACGGTGACTCTCCTCTCACAGCTCTACCAGGCAGTTCCCCTGTGGGGACTCTGTGTGGGGGCTCTGACCCCACATTTCCCTTCTGCACTGCCCTAGCATTGGTTCTCCATGAGGGCTTTGCCCCTGCAGCAAAATTCTGCCTGGACATCTAGGCATTTCCATACATCCTCTGAAATCTAGGTAAATGTTCCCCAAACTCAATTCTTAATTTCTGTGTACCCACAGGCTCAACACCACGTGGAAGCTGCTAAGGATTGGGGCTGGCACCCTCTGAAGTCACAGACTGAGCTGTACCTTGACCACTTTTAGCCATGGCCGAAGTGGCTAGGACACAGGGCACCGAGTCCCTAGGCTGCACACAGCAGGGGGGACCTAGGTCCAGCCCATGAAACCATTTTTTCCTCCTAGGCCTCCAGTTCTGTGATGGGAGGAGCTGCTGTGAAGGTCTCTGACATGCCCTGGAGACATTTTCCCCCATTGTCTTGGTGATTAACATTCGTCTCCTCATTACTTGTGTAAATTTATGCAGCCAGCCATTGGGCTACACATTTTTCAAACTTTTATGCTGTCTTTCCTCTGGACTGTTTTGTCACTTAGAAATTTTTTCCACTAGATACCCTAAGTCATCTCTCTTAAGTTCAAAGTTCCACAGATCTCTAGGGCAGCAGCAGAATGTCACCAGTCTCTTTGCACAGCAAGAGTGACCTTTACTCCAGTTGTTACAAGTTCCTCATCTCCATCTGAGACCACCTGAGTCTGGACTTTTTGGTCAAAACCATTCAACAAGCCTCTAGGAAGCTCCAAACTTTCCCACATCTTCCTGTCTTCTTCTGAGCCCTGCAAACTGTTCTAACCTCTGCGTGTTACCCAATTCCAAAGTTGCTTCAGGTATCTTAATAGCAGTACCTTACTCTACTAGTACCAATTTACTGTTTTAGTCCATTTTCATACTGCTGTGAAGAAATACCCAAGACTGGATAATTTATAAAGAAAAAGAGGTTTAATGGACTCAGTTCCACATGTGTGGGGAGGCCTCACAATCATTGAGGAAGGCGAAGGAGTTGCAAAGGTATATCTTACATGGTGGCAGGCAAGAGGGTGTGCACACTGGAACTGCCCTTTATAAAACTGTCATATCTGGTGAGACTT
Source organism: Homo sapiens (assembly GCF_000001405.40). Lineage (NCBI taxonomy): Eukaryota > Metazoa > Chordata > Mammalia > Primates > Hominidae > Homo > Homo sapiens. Next base: position 154,545,719 of record NC_000002.12, on the reverse strand, counting down.
ACTATCACAAGAACAGCACAGGAAAAACCCACCCCCATGATTCAATTACCTTCCACTTGGTCCCTCCCATGACACATGGGGATTATGCGGGCTACAGTTCAAGAAGAGATTTAGGGGAGGTCACTGCCAAACCATATCACAATGAAATGCACAAATTTTAAGAATTTCAATGAGTTTTGATACATGTAATTTCTCATGCAACCTATTAATCCATCAAGATCAGGAAAATTTCCATCACCCCAGTAAGTTTCCTTATGTTCCCTTTCAAACACTGCCACTCATTAACAACCACTGCTCTGACTTCTATTTGCTGGTTCTTCATCATTGTAGAAACAGGATCCTGCCAATGGATTCTCTAATATGGGACTTTTATTCAACTCAACATTATGTTTTTGAGATTTATCCATGTTATTTTTGTGTCAGCAGTACATTCTTGCTTACTATTGTCATCCTATCATATCAATATAACATATTTTGTTTTTACATTCCTCTGTTGATGGACAGGTGGGATGCTTTGAGTTTTATTGGTAGTAGTCTTTGTACATGGTTAAGGATTTTCTGCCTACAAAATTATGTCATTTGTGAGGTTAGGCTATTTTACTTCATCCTGTCTGTATATTAAATTGTATTTATCTTGTCCCCTACACTGTTAGTATGACCGGTACAAAATTAATAGAAATAGAACAGACAATCTTATCCTTCTCTCTGTTTTAGGAGGATGACATTTAATATATCATCATTAAATACAATATTAGCTATAGGATTTTGGTAAATGTTCTTTAGCAGGTTTTCTTCTATCCAGAGTTTGCTGAGGCTTTTTATGTATTTTTTTAGAAAGCTTATTTTTGCTTCTAACTAAATGACCATATGAACTTTTCCTTTAGTCTGTAAATGATGAATTATATTAATTTTTCTATATTAAACCTTGTATTCCTATTGTGAATGTAATCTTATGAGGTGTACTATCCTTTTTACATATCGTAGGACAATTTGATATTTTAAGATTTTTTTGTCTATATTCATGAAAGATATTAGTCTTAATTTTTTTTTCTTCTTGGGATGTTTTTATTTGTTTTGGTATCAGAGCTGCAGTGGTTTCCTAATATGAATTAGGAAGTATTCTTCGGCCTCTTTTGTCTGAGTTTGTGTAGGAATGATATTTTTTCTTCCTTAAATATTTTTAAAGATTCATCAGTGAAGTCATACGTGCCCAGGATTTTCTTTGTAGAAAGTTTAATTATAAATTTAATTTTTTTTTTTTTTGAGGCGGAGTTTTGCTCTTGTTGCCCAGTCTGGAGTGCAGTGGCATGATCTCGGCTCACTGCAATCTCCACCTTCTGGTTTCAAGTGATTCTCCTGCCTCAGCCTCCTGAGTAGCTGGTATTACAAGTGTCTGCCACCACACCCGGCTAAGGCTAATTTTTGTAGTTTTAGTAGAGACGGAGTTTCACCATGTTTGCCAGGCTGATCTCAAACTCCTGACCTCGTGATCCTCTGGCCTCGGCCTCCCAAAGTGTTGGGATTATTGGCGTGAGCCACTGCGCCTGGCCTATAAATTCAATTTCTAAATATATATATAGAACTATTACATTTTAAAGTTTTTATTAAATTCTTATAATTTCTATTATTCAAGGAAAATCATTTAAGTTATAAAGTTGTTTATATCTTCTCATTCATAATTTATGTTGCTAAATTTTTTTCTCTTTATAACTTGTAACTCATGAAACTTATCATGTTTAGAAATCTTTCAAAGAATCACGATTTCTTTGATTTAGTCTATTGTTTCTACTTCATTGATTTATGTTCTGATTTTTATCATTTCCTTTTAAAATTAATTTTGTTTACTTTGCTCTTCTTTTGAGATTCTTAAGGTGGAAGCACAGTGCATTAGTTTTAAGCCTTTTTTCTTTTAAGCATTTCAAACTTAAATGTCACTCCAAGGACTGCTTTCCCTAAATCTCGCATATTCTTATATGTTGTGTTCTCATTTTTTTCATCACAAAATATTTTTTCACATTTACCTTATAATTTTTCTTCAGTCCATGGATCATTTAGTAGCTCATTTTCAAATCTCCATGTTTCAAAATCTCTAGAATTGTGTAAGTTATCTACTTGTTATTGATTTCTAATTTAATTCCACTCTGGCTCAGCATTTGGTCAGTCTTGGTGAAAGAGCCACACATAGTATTTTTGTTGGGTGTAGTGATCTAAAAATGTCAATTAGGGCAAGTTTGTTAGCAAAAAGTTAGTTGATAGTATTGTTCAATCATATAGATCTATATTTTTTGGGAGGATCTACCTTTTCTATTTGAAAATGGAGTACATCTCTGATATTAATATAAATCTGTAGATACTTCACTTCTGTTCTGACATAATTTTCTTCATGAATTGGAAAGCTTTGTTATTGGTTTCATACCCATTTAATAGTTGTATTTTCTCAATTAGTTGGCTCTTTTATCATCACGATAGAACCCTTTACTTGGCATTCTTCTTGAAATCTTCTTTGATATTGGCAGTCACAACAGTTTTCTTAATACTTTCCATTACTTTACTTTCAACCTGTATGTGTTTTTGTGTTTTCCATTTTTTTTTTTTTTTGTAGAACACAAATAGGTGGTTCTTGTTTTTCATAAATCCAGTATGAAAAGCTTTTCCTTGAAGTATTCAATCTACTTACATTTAATTTAAATATTGATGAGTTTGGCTGTAATTTCAGCATTTTAGCATTTGATTTCTATTTGTCACAACTGCTTTTTGTTCCTCTGTTCCCATGCCCCTGCCATTGTATGGAAATGAAATATTTTTAATGTTCCATTTTATCTCCTCTAATAACATTTTAGCCATACCTTTTTGTATTTTTTGGTGTTTATTTAGAATGTGGATCTGTAACTTTCCACAGTCTGCATTCGAAAACTATCCTATTACTTCACAAATAACAACATGTAGAAATGTCGTTACATGTCCAATTAGCATTCCCCCACTTTTTGTTTATTTCATATATCTTAATTCTATACCTCCTCTCAAATACATGTTCCTTGCTATTATTTTAAAATAAATGTCTTTCATGAGATTAATATGTGTATATAACAATAGAGTAAAAGCTGTCTGATAACATATGTACTCTTTTTAGTAATTTTTGTTTGTGTAGAACTTGGTTTCCATCTATCATTCCCCTTTATCCTGAAAAACTTCCTTAAGTACTTTGTATAGAACAGCTCTGCTTTTGACAATTTTTTTCACCTATTATTTATCTGAAACAACTTTATTATTCATTTTTGAATATTTTTATTGAACATAGAATTCTAGTATAACAGGATTTTTTTTTCCTCCAGTATTTTAAACGTGTTCCATTCTATTCTGGCCGCAAACTTTTCTTATGGGAAGTCAGCATCATTTCTATAGCTGTTCCCTTACATGAAATGTATCCTATTTTTTTCCTGTAGCTGCGTTAAAGATTTCCTCTTCTCTTTGATTTGTAACGGAATTGAAGCACCTAGGTGTGTTTTCCTAGCATTTATCATGACTGGGATTCATTAAGCTTTTTGATATTATTCACCAAATTTAGGAAATTTTAGACCATTGTTTCTTCAAATATTTTTCTGTCCCATCTGTCTTTTCCTCCTGCAATTTAAATCATATGTATGTTATTAGTAAATTGCTCCTTATTGCCCCTCATGTCTTTTAAGATTTGTTTTTCTTTTTTCTCTCCATTCCTCAGGTAGAATAAAGTATAATAATCTGTTTCTCTCCTGACATTTCCCAATCCTCATGTTCACTTATGAAGACAATCCTTGCCTGTAATTTCTTATTTTCCAATCACAATTCTGAGTCACAGTGGCTGTTTTTCGACCCATTGTTTTTCCCCTTGAATATTATGGATCACATAACCTTGTTCCTGGCATGTTTAGTAATTTTCTGCTTGCTGTATCCTAATTATGGTGGATGACACATTGTACAGGCTATGTTATTGTCCTCTGAAATGTATAAATTCTGCTCTATTAAATTATGTACAGACCACGTTGAAATTTTGGAGACTTGATTTAAATTTTATTAATGCTTGTCTACTTCAGTTTAGCCCTCAGTCCAAGGTAAATCCCTTTGTTCTGTTACATAGTGTTTACTATTGTGATTTTTCATAAGTTTTCATTGCAAAACCAAGACATTTACACACAGTCTCTAACTTGGCTGAAGTCATATTCTGAACTCTATGTCCCTTTAATTATGCAAAATGTGAAATATATGCCTAGGTTTTTTGTGTTTTGTTTTTTTTTCCCTCAAGCTACTGCTTTCTGCTCAGCTCCCTGGAGTTGTGCCTATATATGTATACTTAGGGGTCGGGCAAAGAGTGATTTTTTTTAAACTCATTTCTAAATCTCCCTTCTTGGAGACTACAGAGTGCTACAGGGGAAAAGCCATATACATGTAAAAGATCTCACTAAGTGCTTTGCCCATCTTTCAAGGATCCAACTCCTCTAGTTTCTGTTTTTATATTGTTCAGTGTCCTCAAAAAGTTATATACTCATACAGAGCCTGTGCTCTTTTTGTGTGGGAGAATTAGTCCAACATAAGCTTCTCTATGTTGCTGGGACTAGAATTTTAATATAATCAGCTTTCACTTGAAAAGAAGTTCATACGATTCCACTCTTAACACCAAACAAGTGCTTTTAAGTATTTTAGCATAAGAAAAACAACTTGCTTAACTTGATAAAATATATCACATAGAAACTTATGGCAGCATGCATTTAAATGGTAAAATATAAGAAACACTTTCATTACCGAGTACTTTGTAAAATATAACAATAGCTAACATAGTCATTTAGTAAGTTATTTGGATAGAGGATCAGCCAACAAAAATGTTAAATTTTCTGTTAGGTGAACAGACGTAACAGCTTAGAAAATATTATTATTATTATTAATATTATTATTTTTGAAACTGAGCCTTCCTCTGTCACCCAGGATGGAGTGCAGTGGCACGATCTTGGCTCACTGCAACCTCTGCCTCCTGGGTTCAAGCAACTCTCTTGTCTCAGCCTCCCAGGTAGCTGGAATTATAGGCGTGAACCACCACACCCCACTAAACACAAACCAAAAAAGGGGAAGTATAAGTAAAGGCATCAATGTAACTTTTTTTTTTTTGCCTACCAGATAGGTGATATATTTTTGAAAGAGAGATACTATCTGTCATTGATAAAGGTATGAAGAAATTAGCACATTTATATATAATTAAAAGCACTGTGAATTGTGACATACTTTGGATAGCAGCTAAATCATTTATAATCCTAACTTGTAAATATTTCTTTTTTTTTTTTTTTTTTTTTCCTGAGACTGAGTCTCACTCTGTAGCCCAAGCTGGAGTGCAGTGACACGATCTCGGCTCACTGCAACTTGTAAATATTTCTATAAAATATGAGATTTCCTATCTTACGATCCAGCAGTTCATCTATCAATACATATTCTGGGGATGAGAGCACTCAGAACACTGATTCATCAGGGCAGTAAGTTAGAAAGCACCTAACTCTTCATTAATAGGCACTGCTTACATAAATTACAGCAAAACATACCATACACTCTTTATTTTAATAATGTATAGCTTTAAACATGGAAATTATTTCATGATATATTAGGTGAATAAAAAGTCCCTATGATCAAATATAAATATTTTTGATTCCTATTGTTTGTATAAACATTGATTTAAGCACAACACAGCTATAAATATTCATCTTTTCTTTTTTTTTTTGACAGACTCTCGCTCTGTTGCCCAGGCTGAAGTACAGTGGCACGATCTCGGCTCACTGCAAGCTCTGCCTCCCAGGTTCACCCCATTCTCCTGCCTTAGCCTCCCTAGTAGCTGGGACTATAGGCGCCAGCTACCACGCCCAGCTAATTTTTTTTGTAATTTTAGTAGAGACGGGGTTTCACCGTGTTAGCCAGGATGGTCTCGATCTCCTGACCTCGTGATCTGCCTGTCTCGGCCTCCCAAAGTGCTGGGATTACAGGGGTGAGCCACTGGGCCTGGCCTAAATATTTATATTCTTATAATTGCATAAAAATAGATCTGTTAATGGTGCTATTTCTGGGAGACAATTGAGAATAAAAAGAGAGTAAAGAACTTTTCAAACCAATAGAAAATATTATTGAAATAAAAAATAAAGAAGCAAAAGAGGGCAGTGCTCACTGCAAAGCTTGCTCTTCTTGGTAAATTGTATGCTCTGCGTGGCCATGTCATACAAAACTGACTTTATGAAATGTGCTCATTTTTCTGGGTAACTTGGTACTTTAGTTTGTCTTCTGTTGCTTGTAACAGAATATCTGAAGCCATAATTTGTAACAAAAAGGAATTTACTTAATACAGTTACGGAGGCTGAGAAATCCAAGTGTTCTGTAGTATGTAGGCCTATGTAAACCTACCCCCAAAGTCTGAGGAAGCTGACTTTCTGTGAAGAAAGAAGCTGACGAATCCATTTCTTAGAAAGAAACATTTAATAGGAATTTATGAACAGAAGTCATGTTTGTGTCTCAGGCAGCGGAGAGAGATGGTGGATCCCCACGCCATTATCCCCCCAGAACCAGGGCTTATCTACCATAGGGAAAGGGTGACTCAGAAAGGATGTGTAGGACAACTGAAGTATGATCACATAAAATGTTGTTTGATCTAAGGGCAAGGTTTATGGTAAATATGTGCTCTCACAGAAGGAACAATAGACAAACTGAAAATCTTACAGGTCTTCCTGAAACAGGAGTTAATCAGAAACAAAGACGGCAGGTTAGCATGCAAAGTGGAGTTGCTTTAGTGTTAATACCAAGGTTGAGGATTCATATCTGGTGAGGGCCTTCTTGCTGTTGTGGACTATGTGAGTCCCAAGGTGGGGGGCAGGTCATCACATGGCAAAGGGGCTGAGTGTGCTAACTCAGGTCTCTTTTCTTCTTCTTCTACTTCTTCTAAGGCCATCAGTCCCACTCCCATGATAAACCATTAGTTTATTAATCCATAAATGGCTTAATGCATTCATGAAGTCAGAGCCCTCATGACCCAATTACCTCTTAAAGGCTTAATTTCTCAATACTGCTACATTAAGGATTAAATGTCCACATGAGTTTTGGAGGGGACAAATATTCAAACCATAGCACTTGGGCACTTTTTTGTGAAATATCTGAATATGCATTTGCGGAATAACTACATAAACCAATTAAAGTGTCTGATGGAGACTGCATTTATCCAGGTTAATTTTGGAAAAAGAATAGATAGCACCTGCTTTTAACTTACTGTTTACTTAAAAATAGAGACTTTAAAAGACAGCATTTGCCCTGGATTCATCTCCTAATAAAATATGAAATTTAGAAACTTAATCTCATTCTATTAAATCTTAAGCATTGTCAAATGTCCATAGTCCTTTCCCTGCTGAAGAGAACTGGTTACTATAACAACCGCTGCAGCAGTGTTACTAACTACATACACAAAAACAAAACTGCCTTAAACTGTTGAATGTTTTTGTGTTCACAGCATAATCAGGTAATTTAGAAATTGGCAGTAACATGGTAAGGAAGAAAATGAAAGGATATTAATCCAGGAAGCAAGTTTGAACAAAATAAGGACAGAGGAAATTGACTAAACAGCTAGGGTAACTCCCACCTTCTGCTTCTGGCTACCTAGCTCTGTTGGCTGGGGGATAGCAAGATGCTCCCATTGTTTAGAGAAGCAATGTCTCAACCTCATTTCCCAGCTAATATTAGGGCCATGGATGATGTAAGGAGAGAGAACTATTGATGCCAGAAACAAAGCAATGAAATATTTATATCCAGAAATAGACTCTGATTTCATAATAGACTACTGGGAAAGGTAAGAGTAACTGAATAAAAGGAAGTATGAATTTTGAAGCTTCTATTTGTATTTACTGTAAAATGGAAATAACATTTCTTCTGTTTTCCTTATTATTGTGAAGGTAAAGTTACAAAATCTTCTTAGAATGTGATTTAAAAGCTATTAAGCTTTGTAAACTATAAATAACATTATCAATAGAATTTAAGTGACCAAATATCCACAATTTACTAATAAACTCCTTTTTGTCATAATATTTTTAACACTGACCTTTCTCCTTTGAATAACAAAAATGTTTATATTAAACCTGATAACCAAACAATATCCTTTTAATACTCTTTAAATAAATGTAAGCCTCTGTGAATTAAAAAATGAAAATATATTAAAAGGCATATGCACATATAGATGACTATAGTGAATTTTGAATAAAACAGTCTATGACTCTGAGATGGTACAAAATATATTCTCAAGAAATAACCCTTATTTAAACTCTTCTTAGTATATGTATATTTGTAGTCAATCAGCAGCCTATTACTCTTCAGAATTTATCTACCTTTAAAATGTCAACTTCTTGTTGCTGCTATATATATTTCCCACCACCTAACAGTGTAGTGACCTAAAATGGTTTTTCTCAATTAAGTGGAGCTATTTTAGTAGCTGTGAGAGAGTAAGTGTAAAAATGACAATCTCCCATTTTAGCTCAGCTTTTCTGAAACTAACATGTAGTCAAAATAACCTCTTTTAAAGAGAAACAAAAGCTTGTGTGACCAACTTCTCTTGACAGAGTTCACATACACCACATTTTAAACTATAACAGTATTTCTATTTTGCTAAGTGATAAACCTCTAAAAGTAGAGACTTATAAGGACAAATTGTTGGTGAACTTTAAATACAGAGCTGAATGTATTCCTATAAACACTTACCAGACTTTAAAAAAAAATTCTAGATGATTGGTTTGTTAAAATGGAGAAGAAAAGAATTATAGAATATGATAGAAAGGGTGTGAGTGTGTAGGCTTAGGAGTAGTATTGGTTTTGTTTGATCAAGTGATATCTATGATTAGTTTTATGAATCACCTATAATGTCAACAAAGTTAGAATCTATAGAAAACTAGCAGAAGGGCCAGGTGTGGTGGCTCATGCCTGTAATCCCAGCACTTTGGGAGGCCGAGGCGGGCGGATCACGAGGTCAGGAGATTGAGACCATCCTGGCTAACACAGTGAAACCTTGTCTCTACTAAAATTACACAAAGAAATTAACCGGGTGTGGTGGTGGGCGCCTGTAGTCCCAGCTATTCAGGAGGCTGAGGCAGGAAAATGGCGTGAACCCGGGAGGCAGAAGTTACAGTGAGCCAAGATTGCGCCATGCCACTGCACTCCAGCCTGGGCGACAAAGCGAGACTCTGTCTCAAAAAAACAAAAAAACAAAAAAACAAAAAACAAAAAAAAAAAACAGAAAAGAAAACTAGCAGCGGACAATGACAATATTATGTTTCTAGACTTTAGATTTAATGTAGCTTTATCCTAACAATATTAAAGAAAATATTCCACATAAACAGTTTTTTAGTTATTCTATAAATAAAGGTTTTCTTTTTCCTATCGAAAATAATTTGGTCAGGAATTTTCTTCTTCATAATTTTTCTGTTGTAGTAGTTTATTTAAATATTTTCTAAGGGGGTTTCAAATCTGCATTTTTGATTTCTGCTTTCACTATAAAATGGATGGACAGATAAATCTTACTAAACTTAGAGAAATTGTGATTTTTAGCTAATTAATAAGATTCGGGCCAATGCCAGCTGAAAACATGGCACAAATTCAGACAGCAGTTTTAAGAAAATTTGATCAGAAGATAAAACACATATGCAAAAGCACTAACCATTTTATCAGTTTACCATTGTTCATGGAAAAGTCAAACTTTTAGCCTGGCATGCAAAGTGCTCTACCATTCATCACTGCCTCTCTCTTTCTATGTATTTCTCCTTGTTTCTCTACTCAATCACTCCAGCAGCCAAATCTCCCTGGTCCATACAAGCTCCTCTGCTTGTACTTAATTCTGGCTTGGAATATTCTCCCTTTTTCATTCTTTTTATTCAAAATTGACCACCCCTTCTAAGTCTAGCTCAAGTCCCTTCTTCATGAAGTTTGCCTGTTCGCATATCTCTCCTTCAAACTGAATCTTAACACATGTAGGGAAGTTTAAAATTTTCCCTTGAAGTTTCAATAATTTGAGTCTGTAAAACAAACTGATAATAGACTGATTACCAGGAAAAAGGGCATAAAAATTTTATTATATACACAAGATTCATACACAATATAAAAACCCAAAGAAAGGCAAGATGCTGACACTTTTGTATCATCTTGAGGTTACAGAAAGAATAGAGGATTGGATCATGGCAAAGACAGGTTATGGGAAGAAGAGGAAAGACCTGCAGAAAAGGCATTCTTTTTATACAGATAATGATACCAGTGGAGCGTGTCCGGGTTCTTGGGGTCTTGATCAAAGAACTGGACAAAACATGCAAGGAAAGAACGAAGCAACAAAAGCAGAGATTTACTGAAAATGCAAGTACACTCCACAGAGTGAGAGTGGGATGAGTGGGCTCAAGAGCCCAGTTACAGAGTTATCTGGGGTTTAAATACCCTCTAGAGGTTTCCATTGGTTACGTGGTGTATGCCTTATGTAAATGAAGAGGCTAAAGTGAAGTTACAAAGTTATTTGCTTGGTGTATACCCTATGTAAATGAAGAGGATGAAGTAAAGTTACAAAGTCTTTTACTCAGTGTACGCCCTACGTAAATGAAGAGAATGTTTCCTGTCATAGCTGATGTGCTTCCATTTGACTTAGTTCTAGGAAATCCTTAGGTTCCCTGGCTACAGGCCCTATTCTCCTCCCTAAATAAGGTACAGATGAATTCTCACAGGTAGCAGCTCTCAGAAGGAATAGATGGTAGCCAGTGGTAAATGTTTGTCACACCTTTAAAGGTTTCTAGATACGGACGGGGGGCCTTCAGAGAAAGTCTGTTTGCATCTGTCGTTTACTTGACTATTTCCTCTACAGATGCAAATCTTCCTTCAGAAGACAGCTTTTTAGCTAGTCTTGTATTTCTAGCTCCTCTGAATAGCCATCTTGAAATATGTCAAAAAAGTATGTTTTGGGATGAAATAGTTTCAGTTTCCCTCACACAGCCAATGTCCACTGTTCAGTTGGCACATATTACCGCCTCCTGAGTAGTTTTTGTCACTTGTATGAATATCCCCCCTCTTCAACTGCATTGTGATATGCTATGGTGATACAGAGAAGAGTAGGGTCTAATTAACTTTTGCAATTCCACATGAATTACAGATTTTTTTACACACAACAATTATAGCCATAGTAACCAGCTACACTCATGAAACAGATATTATATTTACTGTGAAGGAAAGATACAGAACTGAGTGTGAATCCAATTTCCACCATTTATTAGTTTTGAAGCTTTCATCAAGTTAGTCAATATATTGAAGGCTTCGCAAATGTGTTCTCATTTAATCTTCAACATAATCTTGCACAACAAGTTCTATTACTAGCTCAATTTTAAAATGGAAAAAAGTAAAGACTAGAGAGTTTTACCTAATGTCAGAAGATAAAATTGCAACAAACTTAGTTTAGAGATCTAATTGTTTTTTATTTGTAATTCTAGAATTGGGCAGCATTTTATTCCACAAAATAGAATGAGTGCTCCACTGGTCATGGCAGAACAGTTGGTTTTTGTAAGATGGGAACACAGAAACAGAATAATAGAACAAATCGGACTGGTTAACATCAGTTTACTTCAGATTATTTTTCTTGTAAGGGTTAGAGCAGAGAGAATTTCCTTATTATGATAATTTAGGTTGACTGTGCCTTTTCTAATTGGTTGCTTTGAATCTCCTGTTTTTAGGGAAAACCCATCTGTTTAGGGATTTAGCAGCTTTCTTAAAGTTTCAGTTTGATTATGTAGCGTTTTGCACAAGTAAGCCTTATTTAGTTTTGTCTGGTCTGCTGGGGCCTAGTGCAGCAGCACAGTTGAAAACAATGGCCCCCCAGTAAAATATGTTTCACACTAACGATAGTGGCTGGTAAATAAAGGATCCAGGACTTCCCTGACTGAGAACACAAGCCCTGGTATTAGGCAGAGAGAGGCGTAAACCTGCCCCCAAAAGACTGTTGAGTGTATAAGCGCCTGGCCTTATACCTGCAGGCAAAACAGATTTCAGGGTTATTTGGGGGCTAATAGTAGTGGGACCTTCATAATTACTGTAAAAATCAGGCACCTTAGCTCAAAGAAATTTTTAACACTAACCGAGGAAACTGTTAAAGGACTACTTCGTACTTGATCTACTGACAGCAAAGCTGAAAGCAAACCTGCCCTCCCTTACACTGATGAACTAGGTATTATTGGTTAAATTCACTCTCAAGGTCCCCCAAATAAGTAAGGACATAGCTTTGCTGAGCAGATCTGACAGTCAGCTAGCCATGTTACAAGGGGCATTTGTCTTCCACTAGAATTGGGCATTTGAAGTTGAAGTTGGTTTCCAATTAACCATTCAAAATTACGACAGAAAGCATAAAGAAAGAACAAGGAAAAATTTCATACACTTTTGCTTTATAATAGGTTTGACCTTTTTAAGGTTGAATTTTGTGACAGGCTATGCCACAAGAAAATCTGGAAGAAATAAAACTGGAGAGTTCTAAAAATATGAAATATATACATTGTTCACTTAAAAAAGCTTAAGCCTTAATTCAGCTAAGATGACCTAAATACAAACAAATGCCTCTTAATTATCAGGCCAGTCTGCCTAAGCTATGCAAATAGGTAGTCTCTATCCACTACCTCTTATTCTCCTCACCAATTTCACTCCTCAAGGCAAGCACTTTCAGGTCTGTTTTGTCATAACTTTTCAGCAAGTGTTAAGTTGAGAGTCATTTATTACTTTCCTCCAGGGCAAAGCCAGCACTCTCTTCTAAGTGCTTATACATGTTGATGTCTTACTTGCATGGACGTGGCCAGCCGGTGTGTTACACAGGCCAGCCAAAAACTAAGACCTGCTTTAAATTCTAGCTCTGCTGGTAACCAGTGGAATGGTCTTGCCTAAATCAGTCATTCTTAATCTCAGTTTTCTAATTTGTGAAATAAAAGTCTCATACTAGACCACAGCCAAACATTTACCTCTTTAATTTTATACCATAAATCTACCTATCATGTGTAACTTCCATAATAGCACTCTCCTTCTTATCTTCTTTCCCTTTCAGGCATTAATTTATTATTCATTACTGGCTATTAGCTACTATCATCCCTGAGGTAATTTTCAAGTCTTTATTTTTTCACTACTTTCACTCCCATTCTTCTTCCTTCTACATTCACTCATTCACAGGATTTCAACTGTCAATTATTGGAGACTGAATACTAAATTTTCAGTTTCCTGTTTTCATAACCATGAGGCTATATAATTTTTCTACGTCATTTATATTAGCAACAAAGATCACAGACTCTTCCCGTAAAGCATCCTCTGATCCTCCAAGTTCTTAAATTGACTCTTGGAGTCAATTTAGACTCCTTCAACCCTTTTCCAGTCAATTTGCTGCTAAGTCTTATTATTCTCTCTACAAACTTTCCTTGTGAGATTTGAAACCACTTTTATCAACAACTCAACTATTAGGACTGAGAACTGAGGCCACCTATGTCAACAAGACTTAGCTGTTTGTTCAAGGAAATACTTGTCCAAGAACGTAAGACTATATATAACCCAGCAGACAACTTTACAGTTAGTTTCAGTAAAAAATTGTTTCATAGCGATAAGAAGTTTTTTTTTTTTCTAGGTTCAAACAATTATCCTGCCTCAGCTTCCTGAGTAGCTGAGAATACAGGTGTGTGCCACCATGCCCAGCTAATTTTTGTATTTTTAGTAGAGACGGGGTTTTGCCATATAGACCAGGCTGGTCTTGAAACCCTGATCTCAAGTGATCGGCCCACCTTGGCCTCCCAAAGTACTGAGATTACAGGTGTCAGCCATTGCACCCAGCCAGATATGAGATTTTAATATCCTGTAAGAACATACTAATGTATTTGACTGTCAGCCTTCTGTCTCTACTCTTCACATGGTCGCTAGACTAATTTCTTTTCTTTTTTTTTTTTAGTTTGGCCATGTACACACACTCCAGAATCCACTAGAATTTTTTAACCTGCAGAGCCAAATTACTAATACATACAGTTAAAGCCCTTCTCATCAACCATCCTACCTTAACTGTTGGGTGACTGATTTTAAGCTACTTTTCTCATTATTGTCTTACCTGTATGAGAATCTTTTCTCATAGGAACTTAATTTCCAGCATTTCATCATCAACCTCTAACTTCCTGCTTTTACCAGGGGGTCTGACTATCTACGAACACTAATCCACACTCAACATATTCTTTGCATCTTGCCTCAGTAGTCCTCATTTTTCAAGAAAGTTTCTAGCCATAATAATTCATCAACTAATTTAAATCACTCTTTTCATCAGTCTTCCCAGAGTTTCTTTTATTATTTATTTGTACTTTAAGATATTTTGTGAAAATGTCTTTCAGGTTTTAATGTTTGTTCCCTCTCTATGGCAGAGTGAGTTGCCCTCATCAAACATTCCATCTTCAGCCTCACATATCCCTACCTCTTTGCAGTTAGATAGACCCATGTGAATAGTTTTGGCTGGAAAATAAGTGAAATGTGTCACTTCTGAGCAAAAGTATAGAAGAGTGGGAGTTCAACTCACCAGTTGTCTCTACCACTATAAGGCTTCCTGTGCCAGATGGCACAGCTCCAAGATGGTAGAGCCTCTATTGGCGTGTGCACCCAAGTGATGCTATACAGCAAATCTTCAAAGTGGCCTACACTGGACACATAGTGAGAGCAAAAGTAAACCTTTATGTGTTAAGGTGCTGAGATTATAAATAATAGAGTCTTCTAAGTTAGTCAAGTGACTTTTGGTAAGAGATTATTTATTCAGTTGATTTTACAGTTTTCTCCTCAGTATACAGTGTAGTCTCCATACAAGCATTGTAATCAATAAATACTTTTGTCTATATTGTTTTGTATTTATTTTTCCCTAAATATAATTGGCCCCAGAATTTTATTGCAATAGAAATAAAATCAATGATAATGCTCTACAACTCTTCCTTATATCATTCTAAATGCTGCATTTCAGATATTTTAAAAATTAGTTGTAAAGTTTTTAAAGAAGATAGTTATCTGCGTGTATCTGTCAGGGATTAATCAGAGAAGCTGAGCTCTGAAGAGTTATGGGATAAGGGATTTGTCATAGAAATTAGGCCTTACACATTTGGAGGAGGCAATGGGTAAGGATAGTATTGAAAGAGAGAATAGAAGAATCAGAGGAGATACCCATCAGTCACTATAAGAAGTCAGCAAGTGCAGGCACTGAGGTGGAACTACAAAGGGTGAGCTGGTAGAGAAGTTCTTAAGAAACTGTTGATTCTATGGGTCTTCAGCCAGTGTCTAGTGAGGGACTTGGGGCCACTCTTGGTTAGCAGGATCCGCAGTTCTGTAGGAGCTGAACATGGAGTGGAAGAAAGTGAGGACAAGCAGGAATCTTGCCATTCATGAGTCTGTCTTGTCACCACAGCTAATACTAGAGATCTTCGGAGAGTAAGGATTACTACTTAATTTCCACCTTCCAAACTTCATGCAGTTTCCCATTTAGCTAACATAATCCAAAACCATACAAAAGAGAGGGTTTGATAAGCAGAAGGGCCTGGGTCTGTCAAATGAGAGAAACTTAAGTGAGAGTAGTCAGCTTGAAAGGAAAGAGTAGTGGGTTAGAGACCGCCACAAATTCTGTACTGCTTCTCCATCAATGAGTGGAGACTATCTCCTCTTCTGCTGAATCTGAATTGGCTTTGAAATGTGCTTTGGTTTTCAGCAGGAGTGAAGTTTTGCCTATTCACCTTTATTCTGCACCAAACATAACATTGTCTTTTCCTGCCCTTAACATAATATTCAACAGAACTACTACAAAGATACTACAAATTATATATAGCAGAATATACTTAATAAAATCAAAATGAATTAAGGATTGAAAATAAAAAACATGATAATCATCCAATAAAACCAGGACATACAGTTGCATATTCTTTCATTAATTGTATTATTATTGTCTCCTCTTTTTACCTATACTTATTAGATTCTTTTTCATGAAAAGCAATTTTAGACTGAAGCTGACTGCAAATGTTTTTAAGAAAAATTTAGACAATAACTATGGATAACAAAAGCTTATATATTTACTGTAATCTATCATTTGATAATATTTTACATAAAATTTACCAAATAATCTAATCATTTAATCTCTGCAAGATGAGAGACATTTTGTGAGTTTTCTCAGAAGCCCAATTGGAAAATCTAAAAGTTAATTTTAGACCCAAGAGACTTAATGTAGGATATTAATCCTGGAGAAAGCTGCCAAAAATGTCAAAAGGTTTAAAACACTTAATTGAAACAGAATCACAGGTCATCGTAAAATAATAACTATTTATTTAACTAGAGCAATAATCAAAAGACACAAAAACCTCAACCTTTGAAAGCTCAGTTTTCCTAAATAATAAAAAAATCTAAATAAGACAACACAGGAATTATCTTGATAAAATGTAAAATCTTTCTTTTTTATGCCAGTGTCAAAAAGGTCCAGAAAAACTTCCTGTATTGTGATTACAGCTCCTTAAGTGAAGCCCATTTGGATAAGCTGGAAGTCAAAACTGATGAAAAGGATACTTGAATTTAATTAGACATAGAAAGACCGTGTTCAGGGTTACAAGTACACATTATATTTTCGAGGAATGTAAACAAGAAAACTAGTACCTTGAAATGGGAAATATATGGCTTTTAGTAACAGCTTGGGAAGCTTCCTGGTTACATTGACCAATTTAGACATACCAAGCAAAGCCAGGTGCACAGATCACATTACATGTGAAGAAAACATTGCTTTTCTAGACCTTCAAAATAAACATTTCAGCATCAGGCCATGACAGCAAAGTTAGAACCAGAGGAAAAAAACTACAGGAATTGACAAAAATGTTGAAGGAAAGAGTTATCATCCCAGTCAAACAAACAAACAAGAAAATGTATCTTTTTAAGAGGAGAAAGAACAGAAGGCAATGATGTATGACCACAAATCACATGCAGCAAGGTACAGCAAAAATTGAACTTCTGAGATATATATCTGAGACATTTCAAAAAGCTACAGATTACAAAATTTAAAGATGTAATTTTTATTTTTAATTAAAAATGTATTTTTATTAAAAGCCAACCAATAATTTAAGAAAACCTTGTTGTTCTAACATAAGGGACCAAAATTTTTAGTTTTGTATTAGTGTATTTTTAATATTAATGTTCAATCTTTTTAGGAGGAGGGGGAAGAGCAAAATGGTAGAATAGCAGGCTCCACTGATTGTCCCTCCCACAAGGACACCAATTTAACAATTATCTACACACTGAAAAACCACCTTTATAAGAACCAAAAGCCAGGTGAACACTCACAGTACCTGGTTTTAACTTCATATCACTGAAAGAGATAGGAAAACCAGTCTCAAATCACTGATGTGACCCCCTCCCCCATCCCCTTGCAGCTGCAGGGCGGCGCAGAGAGCATTTTTGTGCACTGAGGACAGGGAAAGCGCAGCAGCTGTGAGACACTGAACGTAGTGCTGCCCTGTTATAGCAGAAAACAAAACCAGACCAAACTCAGCTGATGTCCACCCACAAAGGGAACATTTAAGCTAGCCTTAGCCAGAGGGGAATCCCTGATCCCAGCATCTGAACGGGAGTTCCCACAGCCTCACCACCATGGGCTAAAGTGCTCTTGGGCTCTAAATAAACTTGAAAGGTAGTCTAGGCCACAAGAGCTGCAACTTCTAGGTGAGCCCTAGGGCTGACCTGAGCCCAGAGATAGTGGACTAGAGGACATGCTGAGACACCAGCTGTGGCAGGTGAGGGAGGGCTGGCCTTACCTTTCCCCTAAACCCAAGCTGCACAGCTTGTGGCTCCAAAAGAGACCCCTTCCTTCTGTTCAAAGAGAGGAGAAAGAAGAGTGGGGAGGACTTTGTCTTGAGTTGGATACCAGCTCAGCCACAGCAGAAGAGGGCACTGGTCAGAGCTGTGAGTCCCCCTTTCCAGGCCCTACCTCCTGGACAACAAGTCCAGACATACCTTGGGCCAGGAGGGAAACCACTGCCTAGAAGGGAAGGACCCAGTCCTCACAGGATTAATCACCTACAAACTGAAGAGCCCTTGGGTCCTGAATAACCCGATGTGATATCCAAGTACTACATCAAAGGCATTGGGTGAGACTGAGATTTGCTGGCTTCAAGTGAGACTAAGCACATTCCCAGCTGTGGTGGATATGGGATGATACTCCTTCAGCTTGAGAAAAGCAGAAGGAAAAGTAAAGGGACTTTGTATTGTACCTTAGATACTACCTTGCCCCCTAAGGTGCAGCTAAGATATCAGCTTGAGGCCAAGAGCGGTAGAGCACCAAGCAGGCTCTTGGGGTCCCCAGTTCCAGGACTTGGCTCTTGAACAGCATTTCTGGACCTTCCTTGGGCTAGAGGAGAGCCCCCTGCCCTGAAGGATGCGTCCTAGGCTAGGCACCATTCACCACAAGCTGACTGATGAGTCGAGTCCTTGGGCCTTAAAAGGAACATCAGCCATAGTCTGGCAGTACTCCCCTTGGGCCTACGGTGGGGGTGGCCACAGGGTAAAGCTCCTTTGCCTTTGGAAAGGGGAGGGAAGAGTGGGAAGGACTAGGTCTTGTGGTTTGAGTGCCAGCCCAGCTGCAGTAAAATACAATACCACATAGACTTTTAAGGATTTTGACTCTAGTCTCTGGCTCCCAGACAGCACCTCTGGACCCACTCTGGGGCTTGGGAGAAATTGTCTCCCTGAAAGGAAGGACAAAGGCCTGGCTGGTTTTGCCATCTGCAGACTATAGAGCTTCAGAGCCCTGAGTGAACATAGGCAGTAGCTAGGGAGTGGTTACAGTAGGCCTTAGGTGAGACCCAGTGCAGCCCTAGTGCTGGTGGCCACAGGAGTGCTTCTGCCACTCCAACCCCAGCTCCAGGTGGCACAGAACAGAGGGAGAGAGACTCTGTTTGGGAGAAAGCAAGGGAAGAAAACAAGAGTCTCTACCTGGTAATCCAGAGAATTCTTCGGGATCTTGTCCAAGACCATCAAGGTGGTACCTCTACAAGTCTGTAAAAATCACAGCATTACTGGGTTTAGGATGCCCCACTAAAGCAGATACAACTTACGTCACAACACCCAAGTCCTTTTGAATATCTGAAAAGCCTTCCCAAGAAGGATGGGTACAAAACAGTTCCAGACTGTGAAAACTGCAATAAACAACCTAACTCTTCAATGCTCAGACACAGAAGAAAATCTACAAGTATCCAGACCATCCAGGAAAACATGACATCACCAAATGAACTAAGTAAGACATCAGGGACCAATCCCAGAGAAACAGTGACGTGTCACCTTGCAGGAAGAGAATTCAAAATAGTTGTTTTGAGGAAACTCAAAGAAATTCAAGATAACACAGGGAAGGAATTCAGAATTCTATCAGATAAATTTAACAAAGAGGTTTAAATAATTTAAAAGAAGCAGAAACTCTGGAGCTGAAAAATACAGTTGGCATACTGAAGAATGCATCAGTCTTTTAATAGCAGAATTGACCAAGCAGAAGAAAGAATTAGTGACCTTGAAGAAAGGCTATTTGAAAATACATAGAGCAGGAAAAAAAAGAATAAAAAACAATGAAGCACACCTACAAGATCTAGAAAATAGCCCCCAAAAGGCAAATCTAAGAGTTATTGCCCTTAAAGAGGTGGTGGAAAAAGAAATAGGGGTAGAAAGTTTATTCAAAGGGAAAATAATACAGAACTTTCCAAACCCAGAGAAAGATATCAACATTCAAGTATAAGAAGGATATGGAACACCAAGCAGATCTAACCCAAAGAAGACTACCTCAAGGGATTTAATATTCAAACTCCCAGAGGTCAAGGATAAATAATTCTAAAAGCAGCAAGAGAAAAATAAACAAATATTATACTGTGGAACTTCAATATATCTGGCAGCAGACTTTTCAGTGGAAACCTTACAGACCAAGAGAGAGTTGTGTGACATAATTAAAGTGCTGAAGGAGTCTGTAATCCCTGCACTTTGGGAGGCCAAGGCGGGTGGATCACCTGAACTCAGCAATTAGAGACCACCCTGAGTAACATGGTGAAATCCTGTCTCTACAAAAAATACAAAAATTAGCTGGGGGTGGTGGCAAACACCTGTAGTCCCAGCTACTCGGGAGGCAGAGGCAGGATAATTGCTTGAGCTCTTGAGGCAGCGGTTGCAGAGAGCCATGACTGCATCACTGCACTCTAGCCTGGGCAACAAGAGTGAAACCCTGCCTCAAAAAATAAAATAAAGTGCTGAAGGAAAAAAATATTTTACCCTAGAATAGTCTACCTGATGAAAATGTCCTTCAAACATAAAGAAGAAATAGAGACTTTCTCATATAAACAAAACCTGAGGCATTTCCTCAACACCAGACCTACCCTACAAGAAAAGGATGTTAATAAGCAGTAAGAAATCATCCCTAAGTACAAAACTTATTGGTGATAGTAAGTACACAGAAAATTACAACGCTGTAACTGTGTTGTATGAACTACTCTTATCTTATATTCAAAGACTAAATGATGAATCAATCAAAGATCACAACTGCAACAGCTTTTCAAGACATAGACAGTAACATAAGATAAATAGACACAACAAAAATTTTAAAAGCAGGGAGATGAAGTTAAGGCATGGAGTTTTTATTAGTTTTCATTTGCTTGTTTATGTAAAAAGTGTTATTATCAGCTTAAATGTACAGATTATAAGATAGTATTTGCAAGCATCATTGTACACTCAAGCCAAAACACAAACAATACATACACAAAAAATAAAAAACAAGAAACTAAATCATATCACCAGAGAAAAATCACCTTCACTAAAAGGAAGACAGAAAAAAAGGAAGACGGAAGACAACAAAACAACCAGAAAACAAATTTTAAAATGGCGGGAGTAAGCCCCTGCTTATCAACAATAACAATGAATGTAAGTGAACTAAACTCTCCATTAAAAAGACAGAGTGGCCGAATGAATTTTAAAAAAGACACAATGATCTGTTATCACAAGAAACACACTTCACCTATGAAGACACACACAGACTGAAAATAAAGGGAGGGAAAAAATATTCTATGCCAATGGAAATCAAAAAAGATAAGAAGTAGTTATACTTGTATCAGACAAAATAGATTTCAAGACCAAAACTATAAGAAGAGAAAAAAGGTCACTATATAATAATAAAGGGGTCAATTCAGTAAGAGGATATAATAATTGTAAAGAAATATGCACCCAACACTGGAGCACCCAGATATATAAAGCAATTATTACTAGAGCTAAAGAGATAGACCTGAATATAAGAATATTTGGAGACTTCAATAGCCAATATTCACCATTGGACAGATCTTCCAGATAGAAAATCAACAAAGAAACATCAGATTTAATCTGTACCGTAGACCAAATAGACCTAATAGATATTTACAGAACAGTTCATCTAACAGCTGCGGAATACACATTCTTTTCCCCAGCACACGGATCATTCTCAAGGATAGACCATATGTTAAGTCACAAAACAAGTCTTAAAACATTCAAAAAAATTAAAATGATATCAAGCATCTTCTCTGACCACGATAGAATAAAAGTAGAAATTAATAAGAGGAATTGTGGAAAGTATACAAATATATGAAAATTAAATATATGCTCTTGAATGACCAGTGGATCAACGAAGTAATTAAGAAGGAAATTGAGAATTTTTTTGAAACAAATGACATGACAATGGAAATACAACATGTCAAAACCTGTTGGGATACAGCAAAGGCAGTACTAAGAGGGATGTTTACAATTCAAAGTTCCTATGTCAAAAAAGAAGAAAAACTGCAAATAAACAACCTAACAATGCATTTTAAAGAACTAGAAAAGCAAGAGCAAACTAAACCCAAATTAGTAGAAGAAAAGAAATAATAAAGATCAGAGCAGAAATAAATGAAATTGAAATGAAGAAAACAACACAAGAGATCAATTAAATACAAGGCTGGTTTTTAAAAGTTAAACAAAATTGGCAAACCTTTAGCCTGGCTAGGAAAAAAGGCAAGACAATCCAAATAAAATCAGAGATGAAAAAACAGACATTACAACTCACACAGCAGAAATTCAAAGGATTACTAGTGGCTACTATGAGCAACTACATGCCAACAAATTGAAAAATCTGGAAGAAATGGAGAAGTTCCTAGACATATATAATCTACCAAGATTGAACTATGAAGAAATCCAAAACCTGAGCAGACTAACAAGTAATGAAATCAAAGCTGTAATAAAAACTCTCTCAGTAAAGACAAGCCCAAGGCCTGGTGGCTTCACTGCTGAATTCTACCAAACAATTAAAGAAGACCTAATACCAACCCTACTCAAACTATTCTGAAAAATAGAGGAGGAAGGAATAATTCCAAACTTATTCTATGTGGCCAGTATTACTCTGGTACCAAAATTAAAGACACACCAAAAAACAAAACAAAACAATAGGCTAATACCTCTGATGAATATCGATGAAAAACTCCTCAACAAAACAGCAAATTGAATTCAATAATACATTAAAAAGATCATTCATAACAACCAAGTGGGGTTTATCCCAGGGATGCAAAAAAGTTTCAGCATATGCAATTCAATTAACATGATACATCATATTAACAGAATGAAGGACAAAAATCATGTGATTATTTCAATTGATGCTGAAAAAGCATTTGACCAAATTCAACATCCCTTCCTGATTAAAAACCTCAAAAAACTGAGTATGGAAGGAATATACCTCAACATATTAAAAGCTATATATGAAAGACCCACAGCTAGTATCATACTAAATGGGGAAAGAAACTGAAAGCCTTTCCTCTAAGATCTGGAACATGACAAGGATGTCCACTTTCACCACTGTTAATGAACATAGTACTAGAAGTCCTAGCCAGAGCAACCAGACAAGAGAAAGAAATAAAGAGCATCCAAACTGACTGGAAAGGAAGAAGTCAAATTATCCTTGTTGGCAGATGATAAGATCTTATATATGGAAAAACTGAAAGACTCCACCAAAAACCTATTAGAACTGATAAACAAAATCAGTAAAGTTGCAAAATACAAAATCAATGTACAAAAACCAGTAGCATTTCTATATGCCAACACTGAACAATCTGAAAAAGAAATAAAAAGTAAACCTGTTTACAACAGCCACAATTAAAGTTAATAACCTAGGAATTATTTTAACCAAAGAAGAGAAAGATGGTTGTAATAAAAACTATAAAACACTGACAAAAGAAATTGAAGAGGACACAAAAAATTGAAAAGATATTCCACGTTCATAGATTGGAAAATCAATATTGTTAAAATGTCCATATTACCCAAAGCAATTTCCAGATTCAATGTAATCCCTGTCAAAATAGCAATGACATTATTCATAGAAATAGAAAAAACAATCCTAAAATTTATATGAAGCCACAAAAAACTCAGCATAGCCAAAGCTATCCTAAACAAAAAAACAAAACTGGAGGAATCACATTATCTCACTTCAAATTATACTCCAGGGCTATATTAACTAAAGCAGCATGGTACTGGCATGAAAAGAGACACATAGAACAATGGAACAGAATAGATAATCAACAAACAAATCCACACACCTACAATGAACTCATTTTTGACAAAGGTGCCAAGAACATACACGAGGGAAAAGATAGTCTCTTCAATAAATGTTGCTGAGAAAACTGGATATCCATATGCAAAAGAATAAAACTATCTCTCACTATATACAAAAATCAAATAAAAATAGATAAAAGACTTAAATCTAAGACCTCAAAACTATGAAACTACTAAAAGAAAACATTGAGGAAACTCTCTAGGACACTGGTCTGTGCAAAAATTTCTTGAGTCATACATCACAAGCACAGGCATCCAAAGCAAAAATGGACAAATGAAATCACATCAAGTTAAAAAAGCTTCTGCACAGCAAAGGAAATAGTCAACAAAGTGAAGCAAAAACTCACAAAATGGGAGAAAATATGTGCAAACTACCCATGTGATAAGGATTAATCACCAGAATATATAAGGGGCTCAAACAACTCTGTAGGAAAAAACGTCTAATAATCTGATTTAAAAGTGGGCTAAAGATTTGAATAGACATTTCTCAAAAGAAGACATACAAATGGCAAAGAGGCATATGAAAAGATGCTCAACATCACTGATCATCAGATAAATCAAATCTACAATGAGATATCATATCACCCTAGCTAAAATGACTTATATCCAAGACAGGCAATATCTAATGCTGGCGAGGATGTGGAGAAAAGGGAATCATGGTACACTGTTAGTGGGAATGTAAGTTAGTACAACCGCTATCAAGAACAGCTTGGGGGTTCCTCACAAAAACTACAAATGGAACTATAGTGTCAGGCCTCTAAGCCCAAGCTAAGCCATCATATCCCCTGTTACCTGCACGTATATATCCAGATGGCCTGAAGTAACTGAAGAATCACAAAAAGAAGTGCAAATGGCCGGTTCCTGCCTTAACTGATGACATTAGCTTGTGAAATTCCTTCTCCTGGCTCATCCTGGATCAAAAGCTCCCCAACTGAGCACCTTGTGACCCCCACCGCTGCCAGCCAGAGAACAATCCCCTTTGACTGTAATTTTCCACTACCTACCCAAATCCTATAAAATGGCCACACCCCTATCTTCCTTCGCTGACTCTTTTTGGACTCAGCCTGCCTGCACCCAGGTAATTAAAAAGCTTTATTGCTCACACAAAGCCTGTTTGGTGATCTCTTCACATGGACGCACGTGAAACATCATACGATCCAGCAATTCCACTGCTGGGTACATACCCAAAAGAAAGTAAATCTGTGTTTCAAAGAAATATCTTCACTCCCACGTTTGTGGCAGCACTGTTCATAACAGCCAAGGGTCCATCAACAGATGAATGGCTTAAAAACTGTGGTATTTATACACAATGGAGTACTATTCAATAATAAAAAAGAATGAGGTCCTGTAATTTACCATAACATGAATGGAACTGGCGATCATTATGTTAAGCGAAATAAGCCAGGCACAGAAAGACAAATATCCCATGTTCTCACTTATTTGTGGTATCAAAAAATCATAACAATTGAACTTATGAAGATAGAGAATAGAAGAATGGTTATCAGAGGCTGGGAGGGCTAGTTGGGGTGGGAAAGGATAGGTGGAGATGGTTAATGGGTACAGAAACAAAATAATTAGAAAGAATGAATAAGACCTAATATTTGACAGCACAACAGGGACTACAGTCAATAGTAATTTATTGCATGTTTTAACATAACTAAAACAGTGTAATTGAATTGTTTGTAACACAAATGATAAATACATAGGTGATAGATACCCCATTTTCCATGATGTGATTATTATGTATGGCATGCCGATACCCAAATATCTCATGTACCCCATAAATATGTATACCTACTGTGTACCCACCAAAATTAAAAACTGAAAAAAAATCATTAAAGAATGAAAAGAGGCCAGGCGCGGTGGCTCACGCCTGTAATCCCAACACTTTGGGAGGCTGAGGCAGGTGGATCACGAGGTCAAGGGTTCGAGACCAGCCTGACCAACATGATGAAACCCCGTCTCTACTAAAAATACAAAAATTAGCTGGGCATGGTGGCAGGCACCTGTAATCCCAGCTACTCAGGAGGCTGGGCAGGAGAATTGCTTGAACCTGGAAGATGGAGGTTGCAGTGAGCCGAGATCGCACCACTGCACTCCAGCCTGGGCAACAGAGCAAGACTCTGTCTCAAAAAAAAAAAAAAAAAAGAATGAAAAGAGAGAAAGAAATTACATTTAACAATTAGGAGGTCACTTGAAACTTTCAAGATTTCAAATTCATAGAGTGAGAAATTCCATTTCAAGGAGTATGTAACCTACTAACCACAGTAAAATCTTTCAAAAAAGGATTTTGGAATTCAACATAAGCAGCTTTTTCATTTTCCAGTTTCCTTATAATTTCTGGCTGTTGGGAAATGGACAATTCTTTAAATTCGCCAGTCAGAATTCTGGGCCACTTTTGAAAAAGAAAGGATTATTTAAACCAGGCAAATAAGCCCATTGAAATGCTGTAAAAATAATGACAATATCATTTGAGTGCTATCATTTGTCAGAAAATGCTTTCCATATACCATCTCATTTAATCTTTCCCAAAAGATGTGGAGTAGGCACTATATTAACCTCATTTTGCAGATGAGGACTATGATTCACAAGGGTTAAATGAAATTACTCAGATTTACACAGCTGGAATTAGGGGATCCAGGTTTCAAACCCAGGCAAAATTATGGCATCTGTATCCTTGTATTTATAATTTAATTTTCAAAAATGTATTTGCCTATGTTTTTGAAAAAAGTTTTATAGTCACATGGTTCAAATTGCAAATGTTAGCAATCATGGTTAGCAGATTTTTTGCAATTTATACTGAGTAATTTATTTTTTTTTTTTTTTTACTTTAAGTTCCAGGATACATGTGCAGAACTTACAGGTTTGTTACATAGGTACACATGTGCCATGGTGGTTCATCGCACCTATCAACCCATCATCTAGGTTTTAAGCCCTGCATGCATTAGGTACCTGTCCTAATAATGTTAGCAGATTCTTATGTGTCCTAAAAGAAAAAAAAATGCATACATAAGCAAATATGTATATCTATGTGCATATATAATCTCTCCTTTCTAAACAGAAAGTATCATATAATATATATTCCTCTATAACTTGTTGTTTTTGTAACTAATTTTCAATATAAGCTTAGGAAAAAACTTTCTTTTATGGCTACCCACTCTTCCATAATATGGGTGTATCACAATTTGTTAGCCAGTCTACTATTGATGGACATTTAGGTTATTAGTTGGAAATCAATAGATTATTAATTTAGAAATTCATAATTTAGATTATTCCCAATCACTTGCTATCATAACCAATGCTCTGACTAATCGTCTTGTACTTACCCCATGCTGCATTTGTCTCAAACCCTGATGATTTATTCATTCTTCATAATATCTCTCTCACGGACACAAATAATCATTCTTGGCAATTGTAACTTTGATATAATTTTTTTAAAGACAAAAGTAAGAGCATTTTGAAACACATCAATTTCTCACTATGGTATTTTCCATTAGGCAAAGTGGTCTAAACCTGAATATTCAGCTTAGAGCAATTCTTAAACTGACAAAACGAATAGGGTCTGATGTTAGAAGGAAGGGTGAACAGGATGTGAGGACAATTAAAGTGGCAATCAAGAACAGCCTTCAAGAGCCTTTATTTTGTAATGAAGCTCTTGATGTTTTAGAACGACTGCGGCATTACTCTTTAGAAACTAACATCCCACTGCCGGGCATGGTGGCTTATTCCTGTAATCCCGGCACTTTGGGAGGCCAAGGCGGGCGGATCACCTGAGGTCAGGAGTTTGAGACCAGCCTGGCTAACATGGTGAAACTCCATTTCTACTAAAAATACAAAAAATTAGCCAGGCGTGGAGGCGCGCGACTATAATCCCAGTTACTCGGGAGGCTGAGGCAGGAGAATCGCTTGAACCCAGGAGCCGGAGGGTGCAGTGAGCCGAGATCACGCCATTGCACTCCAGTTTGGGCAACAAGAGCAGAACTCCGTGTCAAAAAAAAGCAAAAAGAAAGAAAGAAAGAGAGAGAGAGAGAAAGAAAGAGAGAGAGAGAGAGAGAGAGAGAGAAAGAAAGAAAGAAAGAAAGAAAGAAAGAAAGAAAGAAAGAAAGATAGATAGATAGATAGATCCCATAAATGTATATACCAGCACATGTTTTGCCAGCTAATTCTCTCACTAAATATTTGTCTGATGTCTAGTCATAGTTGAGCGCTCAGGAAGCTACTGGTTTTGTGTGTGTGTGTGTGTGTGTGTGTGTGTGTGTGTATGTGTGTGTGTGTGTGTGTTTTCCCTCACCCACTTTATTTGGAGAGACAACTCATCAACTGAACAACTTTAGCAAATTCATTTTATTTCAAGCTTTTTGAAGGATACTTATTATATAAATCCACAGTAATGTTCTAAATGGTACTGTTCTTGTTATTAACAAGGTCTTTGGAAATTTTAATGCTTCTATGAAGTACTTATTAACTGTACCTGTTATGCTCTGAACATTTGCTCCTCCTGATTCCTTTTTTCTGATTACACATATTCTATTCCAATGCAATCTTATCTCACTTCATTAAAAAGAATAAGCATTATTAAAGCTCTTTAAGGGCAGGTCAGTAGTGTAAAAGCTTCATATATTAAAAGTCAGAGGCTTAGAAGATATTCAATAAATGTTATCACTGTAATGATTATAAAATGACCCAAAGGTAAGTGGGAATTAAGACACAGGAGCCTTTAGTCTCAGATTTCTCATCTTCTTTTAATTCCTGATGCTTGTGAGTTGAGCAATCTAAATTCTTTACTCAAACCACCAGTAAGAAGGAGTTCATTGTTGTATATTTTGGCTTAGAGATCTTCATGACATACAAATGACATAACAAAAATATCCGTCAGACAGACTCATTTGCATCTAGCTATTGACTTCAGTTGAATGATTATGAAGACATTAACTAAGTGAAGCTATAATCTAAGGAATAAAAGCAGAAGCTATTTCTAAAATGTAGGTGAACATGGAAAATGTATATTCTTTTATGCAAGAAAGAAGTATTATTCAGCTATAAATTAATTAATCAAATCTTGATTATGGGTCGACTTTGTGCCAGCTATCTCTGTCTAATAGAAGACACATATATAAACAAATGAATGTAATAGAATACTATAGGTGTTATAATAAAATAATTAACAACTGGAATGGCCAATAGGTTTTATTTCATCTACCAAACTTCATAGGTTGATGATAGCTACTAGAGCATGATTTAGAAGGATGTGAAAAGGAGTCTACAACATCATCAACTGGTGATGACTGCCATAGGCCTGGGATGGAGAGGGTCAGTCTGCATGTTGTCTATTTGCTGTCTCTGCTCTGTGGTGCAGAACAGGTGCACAATGAGGAGGCAGAGGTTTTCAAAGGATCATTGACATTTCTGAAGACCCTTGAAACTGGACCTAAATATGAAGAAGGTGGGTGGTAATGAGCAGTCAAAGCAGAGGGGAAAGTATGAAGAAAGGCATAGGTCATAAAGTAACCTAAATGTTGTGGTCAGCGCTTCCTGTAAGTGTGAAGTTGGTTGGGAAGGAAGCAGGGTGGGTGCCAGGCTAGAGAGCTCCACAGGCATTAATCTGAGGAGCTGGAACATAATCTCCTTGTTCTGGAAACTTGTATCAGAATTACCTAAGGTGTTAAGGCAACCAAATTAAAGTATCTGGATGCGGGGCTAAGAATCTGCATTTTTAACTAAGAATATGCATTTTTAACAAGATCTCCAGGTGATTCTTAAGCATAGTAAACATTGAGAGCCCACAGTCAAAGACTGTTATATAGCAGGAAGATAAAACTTTTCAGGAAGTTTTCATGCTGAGCAGTTAACTCATGTTGTTTATAAATATTTCTACTCTAGAAGTGGGTAAAGCTGGTGTTCATGTTAGTACCCACATCCAAAGCCTCCCAGAACCCCCTTCGCAGGCCAAGCTGCTATAGCATTTCTAGCTCATTAATTTTAATCAGGAAGAACCTTTAGCTTAGTGCACTAATTACTACACTAGAATTCAATTGCAATTGAAAATATATACTCAATTTAATTGGAGCATTTTTCAGTAAATTGGATCAAAGGGAGATATTTCATCTTAGAGACAGAAACATGTTTTCAGCTGTGAAGATAAAAAGATTTAGCAAGAGAATAACACACTCTTATTGTCATGATGGTCCAGATTACAGCTAGGTATGCAAGAATTACCTACTCGTAGCTGCAGACTTTTCCTAGTTCACTATAGAAAACAAAGAAAAAATGCTACTGCTATTTAATGGAACCCCTTACTTCACTAAATGAATCCTTCCTATAGTTAAGTAGATCACAACTAATTAGGATCAGTTCCCTGTTTACATATATATACTCATTAGTGTTATTTTTTAAATACAGTGTTGTAAAAGAGACCAGATAGAGGAAACAAAATCCTGAAATTTGGGATATGATTATTCTATTAATAGTATTATTATAATTTTATTGTATATATTATAGAAAATGTTTATTCATTTCAGAGCATTTAGTCAACACGGGTTTATTCATTAACTCCTTTCTTCAAATAATTATTTCTTGCTAGGTACTAAGGACAATTTTATTGCTAGGTATTGAGGCAAGAAACAAATGTATTTCCTGCCCTCATGGTGCTTCCTGTCTAGGAAGGATTTAGCTATTATATTAATCAACAGTCAACCAAATATCAGTCTAGTTTCAATGGTCATATGTGCTTTGAAGCAAAAGTCACATAACACCATAAGCATATCAAGCAGGAGAAACCCCATGTTTTGGGAGTAACAGAAATTCCCTGGAGAGTGACACTTGGTTTTGAGTTGTGAATTAAGAGAAATTAATTAAGAATTTGGGAGGTAGGGGTGGATTCTAGCTAAAGGAAACTTTGTATTTGCAGACTAGGAGGATGACAAGTTTAGGAAACACAAAATGTAGAAGGGGGTGAGGGAGACTTGAACAAGTGTACGAGTTGAGGATGAAGAGTTTTGTAGGGGCTAGGCAATGTAAAGACTTGTAGCCACATAAAGTCTTTAGGTATTTTATTCAAACATGTAATAAGATCAGTTAACATTTACTAAGTATATACTATATGCCAGGTTCTGTGTGTTTATTTTACAAGAATGACGAGGAAATGCTGTGGTGTTGCCCAGAACCCTGGTTTCAGGACTGAGCACCATTCCCCTAGGTGCTGGGAGTGTTGCTCACTGACGGGAAGCCTAGTCCCTCCCCATGAATTTCCCTTGACCAAAACAGTCAAGGGAAATTATGCCTGTCCTAAATTACACCACTCTCTAAGGCAACCCTCATCCAATAACTGGATTTTGCTTATGTAAATATCCCATCATTCCCCCTTGCTGCCCCCAACTGCTCTTCTATGATGAAGTGAAAACATCAGGAAAATTATGATATATTGTTATATAAAATCTCTCATTGAATGAGCTCGTAATACTCATTTTAGCAATTGAACTATCTGAGTAAACATAATTGGAAAAATATAGAATATATAATAACATTACGTAAACATGTATAACGGTTTGATTCCTCATATAAAATGGAAATAGTATAATATCAATAAAATTAGGTTTTTTCATATAATTTGTTAAGTATGTTGAAAGAGGCAAGCAGATTTGTGAAGATGATTTCATTGATCAGCAGCAATTCATAAACTACCAAATTTAAAAGTGTTTTTCTGTTCATACCTACATCACTTGACGCTATTGAAGTTTCCCTCCTCCTTTAAACTCTTTATTCTCTTGCCTTAATGATAGTCTATCTTCTGTTGATCCTCAACTTTTCTGATCATTCCTTTTCTTTCTCTTTCAAGGACCCCTTCTTCACATGCCCACCCTTGAAAATTTACGAAGTCATAAAATTCAGGACTCAGATATTATCCTATTACTCTTCTCATTCTAAGTATTCTCATAATTTTACGTATTTGTATGATTTACCTACTATAAAAATGATCATTTTCAAATTTCGTTTAATTCTAAACTTATTCTCCAGATTTAAAATTTGCATCTTCAGATGTCTGCTGTACAGTTCCAACTGGAAATAAAATTAAAAAAAAAACACAAAGCAAAACAAAAACCCTAAACTGAAATGTTAGTTTTTCTTCCAATATCATTTCTTCCTCTATCTTCTCTATCTCAATTATAGCTAAACTGATTTATGTCCTGTGAATTTTTTCTCTCAAATATTCCTGAAATCAGTCCACTCTCTTAGATTCCAGCCTCCACTTGGCAGAAGTGAGTTTTCTGTCTCTATCTCTCACACTTTTGCTTCTGAACTCAAATTCATTTTTCATTCTACTGCCAGAATGATCCATGGAAAATGCAAATTCAATGTGTCATCTCTCAGCTAAAAACCCTCCAATACCTTCTTATCCTCTACAAATAAATGCCCAAATCCTTAGCCTGGTATGCATATTTTTGAAGGTAGGACCTCTTATTACCTTTCTAATACTAGATCTTATCTTCACCTAATTTGGCTCATGGAACACTTCGTATGGTATTTAGTGGTGCTCAAAAAATGTTCCAAAATGAATGAATGAATGCTAGAAATGTGTTGTAATATATCATTCATGACTAGACAGATCTATCAACACAAAGGGAGGTTGTGAAGTAAAGTACCCACATTGTCAATAGCTAAGCAGTAGTGGTGGTTAATAAAAATGGCTGATACAGCAATTGGAACACATGTACTGAACCAATGAGATAATTATTGTGTACTCTGATTTATATATGTCCCCTCTAGGCAGATACATGGAAAAAAAAGAACCTCAGAAACAATTAGGCAAAATCCTTTGAAAAGCATGTATACCATAACACTGTATGTATTTTGGTAGTCCTAATCTGATTTGAATTACAGACCACTCTTATGGCAATTAAATGAATGTTAAAACCACTTTTAGAAAAATAATGTGTATATAAACTTACATTTATAAATTTTTATATAATATTTCAATATTTTACTCAGTTTAGCTTGAAAATTTCTGCTATAATCAATCCGTAATTTCCTTTGTGCTTGGTTAATTGGGTTTTAAAGTTACATCAAGAAAAATTTTCTCAGTGTCATATATTCTATTAGAGTAGATGATATAGCCAAAAAGCAAATTATTGGTTTAAAAATAGTAATGGATCATTTAAAAATTAGTTTTTGATGCAATGTACCAAATATTTCCTTTATTACATTAAATAAAAAATGTGTCTGTATGCTCATAGTTCTGGAGAGGTATGTGCTGAACTGGATGATGTTTGAACATAGGCCTACAGCTGCAGAAACAAATGTAAAAGCCAAAACAGGGGGTATTCACATTTAATCTAAAATAATCCAGATGGTTGAGTGAACCATTTATGGTTTAATTTTTAAAATACATTTTTCTGGACTTTAAATTTTATTTTTTTATTTTTGCATTTTGGAATTTAGAATACACACAGGCACAAATATAACAATGTTTTGGCATTACTCAAAGTATTTAATTAGTTTAAAGATTAATATTGTCATTCATTTTTTCAGCCCTACAGGCAAAGCTTACATTATTTAAGGAAAAGAGAATGAAGAGCTGAGCAGTAAGTGGGTGATTCAGAGCTGTTATAAATACCTCTCCTGGAGTATTCAAACACTTATCCTTCATCAAGCTCAGGATTTAGACTCAGAATTATATGGACAATTTCCCCATCTTGCCACTTTGCCATCTGTCCTAAAGTAATCATTATTTTTCTACAACAATTACGTTGTGGAATCTTCATTAAGGAACCAACTACTACTTGGATCAATTAGGCTGGCATTGAGGCTGTTGGCCCAGCAAAGCACACTATTAACAAATCCCACATGCTCCACATATGTTAATCCTATTGCAGACAAAACTAGGAGTCTGTACTTTTACCCTGATTTGAGAGCTTAGAATAAAAAACTAGTAAATCAGGTAAATCAAGTCAAATATAAATTTTTAGATAAGGAGCAAAAGTCAAGATCTTTTGAAGCCTTCTCAATTGCAGGCAGTAATGGGACAATTGATACTTTCACTTTACTGATGTGTTCATTGACCACAGTTCTGTTTAAATCTTCCCATTTGATTCTTATTTTTTTTCCTTCATACCCTGCAGTCAGCAACTACAGATATCTGTTGAAATGGCTTACAACCACTGAAATGGATGAGAGGTTTTGTGTGCTTGACCGTCTATTAATGTTATGCCCTACTAACCTGCCATAAGAATTGAAATAATTTGAAATCACATGTGTACTAGGTAAAAGTATCAAGCAGATTAGTGTTCTATGTATTCCTTTGTTCAATGGCATGCAATCAATACCCACAGAAGCGTATATGATCATTATGAAGAGGCCTTGAAAGAAAGAAATGTTTAAGCAATTGAGAGATAGTTATGCTTATGTGTTATACAATAATAGATGGAACCAAAATAGATTTCATTAAGCTATTGTTTTAATTTCTGGAGTATTATTTATTTCTCTCACTTTTTTTTTTTTTTTTTGCCTCTTTGGCAGTGAGTAAAATACACAACAAAGTGCATTTTCTATACCTAAAATTTTCTATGAATTCTTTTTCTTAAAAGACTTAAAATACTTAATCACAAAGGTTTGTATTCCTCATGGCTGACAGAAACATCTGGGATCTTTTTGGCAGACTGAAAAATGGAGTATACCAGGTCAGTATCAAAGCAATGGCGAGTTGGCAGATGTTACATTTGCACTTCTTTATCATCTATAAGTTCCTTTCTATTTATATAAAAAGGCAAAGTGTTCTACTAAAGCAAATGTAGTATTTTAATAGAGGGTATCAGATATTAGGAAGAAAGCTTTCTACTACATATTAGTGGAAAAAAAATGGAATCGCCAATCTTTCAAAGAAAAGTAGTTGAAATCCTTGTGTACTGCTGGTGAGAATGTAAAATGGTGCAGCTTTTTTTGAAATCAGTATAGTAGTTCCTCAAGAAATTATAAACAGAATTTATTATGTAATGCAACAATTCCACTTCTGGCTGTATCTCCAAAAGTACTGAAACCAGGGACTACATCCACGTTCACAGCAGCATTATTCAAAATAGTCAAAAGGTGGCAACCCAAGTGTTCATCAATGGATGAATGGATAAAGAAATATGGTATATACATACAATGAAATGTTATTCAGACTTCAAAAGGAAGAACATTCTGACACACGCTAACATGGATAAATCTTGAAGACAGGATACAAAATACTTAAATAAACTTTCTTAATAGAGAAAGACATTGCCATTAAAAATTTTAAATTTAGAGAAACTAAAAAATATAAGTGAATGTGTTATATACATAAAGGAAATTGTCTGGAAAATAAAAAGCAAAATGTTGATGATAGCTATTAATGTTTGTTCTTTTTAATTATATATATTTTCAATTTTGTCCATAGTGAACATTGTATAATAAACAGTTAGGAAAGGAGGAGGTGGAGGAAGAGAAGGAAAAGACATTGTAGTTTTTTTTTTTTTTTTTTTTTTTTTCTGTTGCAAGATGCTGATACCTTGATAAACTTGCATTGTTTTAAAATGACAAAATCTGACTTAGGAATTTTATGCTCTCATTTCCCAACTCAAAGAGTTTCTTTTATGAAAATATTGCCCTGTATTGGAGTTAATGATGAGCTTTAGTATCATCTGCTGATTTAATTAATGTATGTTTACCTTCTCTTTTGGGTGATTAATGTGAGAAATGTTAAATGTGAGGTCTCACACGGATTTCTTTAGCACTCCACTTGATAGCTCCCCTTCATTCATCAAAAATGATTACACTTTAACTTTTCTTTATCCCTCAGCTAGCTTTTAATCCATAGCTCTGTTTCAAAGGAGTATTGACAGGCCTCCTTTGAAAGATAATGAGACTGTTTGACATCTTTGTGTTTACTGTACAATCCCTCTTAAAAATGCATTATGTAGATGTCATACAAATACAAACACCACAGCCCTGTTGAATCTTTTTATGTTGTGTATCTTATTCAGACATTGGGCCAGCCAATAGACCCTTATTGTGAGTATAGTCCTCTCTTGACAGGAAAGTCAGAATTCTAAGGGCGTTCTGAGGAGTGTGATATAGACAAAACCAGGAAGTGGACATATCTCTGCTGCTTTATCTTCCCTGGGATGCCAGGCCCTGAGCAGAATTACCCATGAGGAGGGCTGATGCTGAACATTATAGAAAATCACAGTATCTACTAAACTGGCTTTGTTGAGCACAGCAATACATTGTGGATTAAAACTTAATTTTAAGAATCTGGACTGAACAATACATAGTGGATTTAAACTTAATTTTTAGAATCTGCTTGTAATCACAAGGTTTTTGAGAATAAAGCAATAATAACTTGATTCATGCTTTTAATTCCTTGTATTTCTTAGTTTTTCACTAGGGTAGGCAAGTGGGTTATTTCTAGTGTGAAAATAATCAATTCTATTAAATTCAGTATTTTTAAACCAAAGAATGATTTTATATTCCAAACACTTCTTTTTTAAACCCCAACATTATACAGTAGTTGTCATTGTCTTTAAAAACAGATACAACCAGAAAGTGTTTACCTTTTTAATTCCCACTGTTTATACTGTACTCACATTTTTCAGAGTTCCTTCTGTGCTGGTGTCTAGGATGAAAATCCATCTCTAACACCCTTCCCTTTCCTAATGCTGCTCCTTGTCCTTTTAAGAGATCCCCTGTACAGATAGGAAGGACATTGTCATTTTGCCACACAGGCCCTGCTAACCCTCCACCTAGCCATCTCTGTGTTCTAGATCTTTGCCTCTTTTTTCAGTTTCCAATGCGAACATAACTTTTCTGTATCCCATTCTTTCAATGTCATGCTTCATTAAAAACTAGCTAATCTGATGAAGTCCAATGCTAATTGGTTCATGAGATTCCATTGTAAAATGTCATCTAGCTATGGTAAAACCTAATGTTGCCCTCTTAGGAATAATGAATTAACCTAAAGGAATGTCTATTGCATATGAGATTTTAGACACTATTTTCAGGCTTAAGGGAGAATTTTTTTTTTTTTAAGTTAGTGGGTTAAGTGTCTGTTAAGCCTTTTCTTCTCAGTGTGTGGACCTCAGACCAACATCAGCATCTTTTGGAAGCTTGTTAGAAATACAGACTCTCAGGTCCCTTCCTAGACCCAGCAAACAATAATCTGCACTTTAAAAACATTCCCAGGTATTTATGTGTACACTAAAATTTTATAATTGCACTTTTAAAATTTTTACCAATATGACTGCTGAAAAGTTTTATCTGATTGATATTTTAATTTTTATTTATATAGCTACTAGCAAAATTAAATGTTTTTATATAATTATTAACCATTTATATTTCAATGTCTATAATTAACTATTTTTTCCCTGTTTTCCATTTAAATGTTCATATTATTTATAGGATTGTGTATTGAGTATTCTTTTCTCTAAAATAAGTTACATTCTCTTTCCTAGTCATTTGTTAACAGTATATCTCTTATAAAAATACTTTAAATTTCAGAAAATATTAATCTGTAAATATTTTCTGTTATCTTAAAACCCAAGGTACCGGCCGGGCACGGTGGCTCATGCCTGTAATCCCAGTACTTTGGGAGGCCGAGGCGGGCGGATCACGAGGTCAGACGATCGAGACCATCCTAGCTAACACAATGAAAGCCCGTCTCTACTAAAAATACAAAAAAATTAGCCAGGCGTGGTGGTGGGTGCCTGTAGTCCCAGCTACTCGGGAGCCTGAGGCAGGAGAATGGCACGAACCCGGGAGGCGAAGCTTGCAGTGAGCTGAGATCGCACCACTGCACTCCAGCCTGGGCGACAGAGCGAGACTCCGTCTCAAAAAAAAAAACAAAAAACAAACAAACAAAAAACCCAAGGTACCATATGCTGCAATTCATTTCATTTCTGAAAAATATCACATATGTATTTATAAACCAAAAAATTACAGCCCAATGGCTTCATGTAATTTCTGATCATTCTGAATGTAGGTGCAAAAGTGTTTATTCATTGAAGCCTGTCCGTTCCTCACTAATTTTTAGATCATATTAATAATGATAACTTTCTAATTTTTTTTTGTTGGAAGTTATTTTGAAGTGAGCGCCTTCTTATTATAATTTCATTTAGGCCTTAGAAAGTATAAAGTAAAGAAGTAATTGCATTGTGCTCACAGATCTCTAATCTGGAGTACACGCTTTTGTTGTTCTGCTCTTTGAACTCTACAATGTGATAAATCACTACTAAAATGTTATTATTTCAGATAAACTCTCAGATTCAGGAAGATTCTATGTAGCTCTTGTAAGAGGAAAAGTAAATCTATGTCAGGCAAAACAGCTAAATCAACCACGATTATTAGTTGAGTGACAGATATTTTTGTCCAAGTGTCTTGCCTATTCATAAAGAGAACAAATCCAAATACAAGCTCAGAGAATCTTGAAATATTTGCATTCAAAGAAACCTCAGTTGTTATCTATTCCTAAAATCCCTTGCTAGAAATGATTATTTAAATTACCTAAATTTAGACAACTCTATCAGAAATGTAGTTTCTAGAAATAGAAATCAGAAATGGGAAAGTGTTCCAAGAAGTAGAAGTTTTTGTTTATAATTAGGGCAGGTTTGTAAAAATAAAATTGCAATAGCTTTAGAAACAGAATATTTCCCTAGTGTTTTTAGCGCAGAGAAGAGGCCCTAGAGGCCCCTACAGGGCCATCTGTGCTAGAACAAGTCAATTTCAGAAAAAAATAACAGCAGAAGCAATCCCCATTACAAATGTACTTAAGACTTGTCAGCTACCTTAATGCTCCCCCACTCCCAAACGACCACCAGATTACCCTGTTGGTCAAGCAAAGCAAAGTTTATTAAAGTTATTTCAGAAAGCATGAACAACATCTTGATAATCTCAATAGTGTCTCAGAAAGGGAGGGCAAATAAAGATTTTTATAGGGTTTTAGGTTTCGTCACAGTGATTCAAGTTAGGTTTATTAAACTTTTGCTGGACAAAATTTTATTAAACCTGTTTACTCAGATGAGGAAATTATTTGTCTGGAAAAACTGATTTTCAGGAATTTCCTAAAGTCATTTATTATTTTATATCATCATTTTCCTGCATAAAAGAGAAATACAAAAGAATTTTTTCTGCATAAAAAAGAAATCCAACATTTCTTTCTCCTCAAATAAATGCTGCAGTCAAACTGACAGAGGTAGTTTTATTCCACATTAAGCTCTGTGGAAGCAGTTGGTCTCAATTCCAAAATTTCTGAGGAGATTATCTGGGAGACAAGTCTTTCTGCCTTCCTACTTCCTTGCCAATCCACACATTGTAGTCATCCTAATCCTCAACAAGATTCTTTTAAATTTGCTATAGTATAATTTCAGGGACCTACTCGCTCCTCAAAATACCTTGCCATATGCTTGAAGATATTCACATTTCTGATGAGAAATGAAAAGTTTGAAAGACAAGTGATTGGCTGAGCTAAAGCTTTGGCTGAAACTCCTTGAAATGAAAAAAAAAATGACCAGACTATTGATTAACAAGTTTAAAAAGATGAAATAAATGCTTTCCCAGTTTTAAAAGGAGGAGGAGCCACAAAGAGAACAGAAGGGCTTTAACATCTAAAATGTGGAGGAGATGAGGAAGTGGACCTCAAAGGAGAAGCAACAGATGCAGGTAGAACAAACAAAAACCACAGGATGGAGTGTTTTGGTCTAGCTAATGCAGACAATCCCAATTCTGTATAATGGGGAAATGTCAAAGATGAAATTGGTATATGAATAATTTAACCAATTAAAAATAAACCTGCAATTTTTTATTTTTTTAGGGCATTTGAAATTAAGTGTTTTTACCTAACTGTTCATTGACCAAGTCAAGCCAAATACTATACAACCCCACATTTGTAGGATGTGGGGACCAAGAGTGCCCCGTATTTGATCCAAGTCTAGATCCAGATATAAAATAATTACCATGATATGTAACATGTTTTATAATTCCGTCCTTGTCTTTGTTTATAGAAGACATTAAAACATTAAGACAAAAAAACGTTAAAACACTGCCTGTAGTGAAGTAAGAGCTATTAGATGTTAGTACCACATAATTTAATTTGTGGAAAGTATAACATAAGTATGCTGTTTAGGTGTCATTTTTCCAGCATGTGTTTTATCCTCCTAGCATTAGTTGTCTGACAAGAGGTGGCCTCCTAAGAATACAGAATGACAGTTTCTTAGTAAGTAAACTGTAAACATTTCTTCCTTGACTAGTGATGAAAGTAAACAATTAAGTCACAGTTTTCACATTAGCAGATTTGAAGAACAGCAGTCAAAACTTATCCATTTATTATATATAAAGTGATGTTAAATACTGTTTCTATGATGTATAATCAAGGCAGGATAACTCATTATGTTTTAAAGTATTTACAAATAATGTTAAACACAACCATTCTCTGCTTTGTTTATTGACTTTATTAAATGTTATGTATATACACCAATGGTTTTGAGATATTGGATGTTGTATTAGTCTGTTTTCAGGCTGCTGATAAAGTCATACCCAAGACAGGGAAGAAAAAGAGGTTTACTTGGACTTACAGTTCTGCATGGCTGGGGAGGCCTCAGAATTATGGTGGGAGGTGAAAGGCACTTCTTACGTGGTGGCAGCAAGAGAAGATGAAGAAGAAGCAAAAGTGGAAACCCCTGATAAACCCGTCAGATCTCATGAGATTTATTCACTATCACAAGAATAGCACAGGAAAGACCCGCCCCCATGATTCAATTACCTGCCCCTGGGTCCCTCACACAGCATGTGGGATTTCTGGGAGATACAATTCAAGATGAGACTTGGGTGGGGACACAGCCAAACCATATCATTCCGCCCCTGGCCCCCTCCAAATCTCATGTTCTCACATTTCAAAATCAATTATGCCTTCCCAACAGTCCCCTAAAGTCTTAACTCATTTCAGCATTAACCCAAAAGTCTACAGTCCAAAGTCTCATCTGAAACTAGGCAAGTCCCTTCCACCTATGAGACTGTAAAATCAAAAGCAAGCTAGTTACCTCCTAAATACAATGGGGGTACAGGTATTAGGTAAATACAGCCATTCCAAATGGAAGAAATTTGCCAAAACAAAGGGGTTACAGGCCCCAGGCAAGTCTGAAATCCAGCGGGGCAGTCAAATTTTAAAGCTCCAAAATGATCTCCTTTGACTCTATGTCTCACATCCAGGTGATGCTGATGCAAAAGGGGGGTTCCCATGGTCTTGGACAGCTCCACTGGTGTGGCTTTGCAGGGTACAGCCTCCCTCCTGGCTGCTTTCACAGGCTGGCATTGAGTGTCTGTGGCTTTTCCAGGCACACACTGCAAGCTGTCGGTGGATCTACCACTCTGGAGTCTGGAAGATGGTGGTCTTCCTCTCACAACTCCACTAGGCAGTGCCCTAGTAGGGACTCTGTGTGGGGGCTCCAACCCCACTTTCCTTACCGCACTGCCCCTAGCAGAGGTTCTCCATGAGGACCCTGTCCCTGCAGCAAACTTTCGACTGGGCATCTAGACGTTTACATACATCTTCTGAAATCTAGGTGGAAGTTCCCAAACCTCAATTCTTGACTTCTATGCACCCACAGGCTCAACACCACATGGAAGCTGCCAAGGTCTGGGGCTTGCACCCTCTGAAACCATGGGCCGAACTGTACCTTGGCCCCATTTAGCAACTGCTGGAGTGGCTGGGACTCAGAGCACCAAGTTCCTAGGTCGCATACAGCATAGGAACCCTGGGCCCAGCCCATGAAACCATTTTTCCTCCTAGAATTCTAGGTCTGTGATGGGAGAGGCTGCCATGAAGACCTATCACATGCCCTGGAGACATTTTCCTCATTGTCTTGGTGATTAACATTCTTGCCTTGTTACTTATGCAAATTTCTGCAGCCAGCTTGAGTTTCTCCCGAAAAAGTGGGTTTTTCCTTTTTACTGCATCATCAGGCTGTAAATTTCCTGAACTTTTATGCTCTTTTTTTAAATTAAGATGGAATGCTTTTGACAGCACCCAAGTCACCTCTTGAATGCTTTGCTGCTTAGAAGTTTCTTCTGCCAGATACCCTAAATCATCTGTCTCAAGTTGAATGTTCCACCAATGTCTAGGACGGGGCAAAATGTCACCAGTCTCTGCTAAACATAAAAAGATCACCTTTGCTCCAGTTCCCAACAAATTCCTCATTTCCATCTGAGACCACCTCAGCCTGGACCTTATTGTTCATATCACTATCAGCATTTTTGTCAAAGCCATTCAACAAATCTCTAGGAGGTACTAAACTTTCCCACATTTTCCTGTCTTCTGAGCCCTCCAAACTGTTCCAACTTCTGCCTGTTACCCAGTTCCAAAGTCACTTCCACATTTTGGAGTATCTTTTCAGCAATGCCCTTCTCTACTGCTACAAATTTACTGTATTAGTCCCTTTTTATTCTGCTGATAAAGACATACCCAATACTGGGAAGAAAAATAGGTTTAATTGGACTTACAGTTTCACATGGCTGGGGAGGTCTCAGAATCATGGTGGGAGATGAAAGGCACTTCTTACATGGCAGCAGCAAGAGAAGATGAGGAAGAAGCAAAAGAGGAAACCCCTGATAAACCCATCAGATCTTGTGAGACTTATTCTCTATCATGAGAATAGCTCGGGAAAGCCCTGCCCCCATGATTCAATTACTTCCCTCTGGGTTCCTCCCACAACACAGGGGAATTCTGGGAGATACAAATCAAGTTGAGATTTGGGTGGGGACACAGCCAAACCATATCAGATGTAAATCATTTCTTTCAATCATAGGTCTATCCCTCTGACGTATTAAATTTATATGGAAACTTTCTGATCATAGCACATAAAAGCAATAAGATTAATATTTTAAAATAATAATTATTGTTGTTGATGTTGACATCAATCCCATTAGCTCCTGCTTTTATTTATTGAGATTTGTTGTTATTTTTGAGACAAATCCCACTCTGTCACCCAGGGTGCAGTGCAGTGGTACAATTGCAGCTCACTACAGCCTCAAGCTCCTGGGCTCAAGTAATCCTCCCACCTCAGCCTCCTTAGTAGGTAGGACTACAGGCATGCACCACCATGATTGTCTAATTTTTAAAAAAAATTTTTGTAGAGATGGAGTCCCATTGTGTCACCCAGGCTGATCTCTGACTCCTGGGCTCAAGACCAGGATCCTCCCACGTCGGCCTCCCAAAGTGCTGGGATTACAGGTACCTGGCTAGTGCATGCTTTTAAAATAGTAATGATGAGGGTAAATAAAACTATCTTTATAATTTTAAGTTTTATGAAAAAGGCTCCACTACCCAGAATTAGTCCGAAAACTAAAACAATGGATTAATTCTCCATCTTTTCCCATAATCATTACTTTCCTTTCACTTTATATTTTCAAGTCAAAAAATTGCATACTCAATAGTCTTTATATAATACTCTGTCTTACAAATTATTAGAGAATGCAAAGAGATTATTTTTTGGCTTTGCTACCAACACATAAAAACTACATTAATACAAATTTACAACAGATCATTTACTGCATTTTTCTGCTTCATTCTTTAATGAAATGTTAGTCTTTTAAAAAGGAGGTACTATTTGTGTTTTCCGGCTAAGGTAAATTTAAAACAGATATGCCAAAAAACCCTTACATTCTTTGTGATTTTTTTTTTAATTTTAGATTCAGGGGTACATGTGCAAGTTTGTTACATGGGTATATTGCATAATGGTGAGATTTGGGCTTGTATTGAACCCATCACCCAAAATGTGTGCGTAGTACTCAGCAGGTAGTTTTTCAATCCTTGCTTACCTCTCTTCCCCCTTTTAGAGTTCCCTGTGTCTATTGTTCCCAGCTTGACGTCCATGTGTACCCAAGGTTTAGCTCCCACTTATAAGTGAGAATATGCTGTATTTGGTTTGCTGTTTCTGCATTAATTCACTTAGGATAATGACCTCTAGTTGCATTCATGTTGCTACAAAGGACATGACTTTACTCTTCTTTATGATTGCATACTATTCCATGGTGTATATGTATCACATTTTCTTTATCCATCCCACCATTTGTGGGCGCCTAGGTTGATTCCATGTCTTTGCTGTTGTGAACAGTGCTGCGATAAAGATATGAGTGCAGGTGTCTTTTTGGTAGATATACAGTAATGGGTCAAATGGTAGCTCTACTTTTAATTCTTCAAATTGCTTTCTACAGAATCTCTAAACTGCTTTCCACAGAAGCTGAATAAATTTGCATCACTACTGACAGTATATAAGTATTCCCTTTTCTCCACAACCTCGCCAACATCTGTTATTTTTTGACTTTTTAATTATAGCTATTATG
The DNA here is from genome assembly GCF_000001405.40 of Homo sapiens. Classification (NCBI taxonomy): domain Eukaryota; kingdom Metazoa; phylum Chordata; class Mammalia; order Primates; family Hominidae; genus Homo; species Homo sapiens. The sequence goes on along the minus strand of NC_000002.12, from coordinate 154,501,733 downwards.
ACTGGTGTGAGTTGGTATCTCATTGTGGTTTTGATTTGCATTTCTCCGGAACCAAAAAAAGAGCCTGAATTGCCAAAACAACCCCAAGTGAAAAGAACAATGTGGGAGGCATTGCATTACCTGAATTCAAACTATGGTACAAGGCTTCAGTAGCCAAAACAGCATGGTTCTGGTACAAAAACAGACACATAGACGAAAGGAACAGAATACAGAAGCCAAAAATAAAGCTGCACACTACAACCAACTGATCTTTGACAAAGTTGACAAAAAAGAACTACCTATCCAGAATCGATAAGGAACTTAAAAAAGTCAACAAGAAAAAAACACAAGACCCTATTAAAATGTGAGCAATGGATGCGTACAGACACTTCTCAAAAGAAGACAACCAAACAGCCAACAAACATATGAACCCTCACTTTCTAAAGCAATAGTTACAACTAGCCCTCTTTCCACCCTCCGGCTGCATAAAAGCAGGCTCAGAGTCATCAGGAGTGAAAATGTCTGGGGAAATTCCTTTGTGAAGATTGTCAAAGGGTTATTTCTTTCTTCCTGCCTTTCTGCTCAGAGAAGGCAATTATTATTGTCTTCCTCAATTAAGCTGGGTGGTGTTCAAGAGAGAACCCCTTAGAGAACTTGGTATGTGTTCTTGAAGTTGGGTGGCCACAACAACTGATACCTGACTCATATGTATACAATTTTTAAAGGTTAAATTCTGGTGGGAGTTGCCACTGTAATGAAGAGAAGCAATATATCTTCAATAGAAACATGTCAGCCTTCTACCTGGGAGGGCAGAGGTGACTGTTTTCCAAAAGCCAGCTGTGCCACCTGCAGAAGTGAGCTAGAACTGAATTACCTAGCTCATGCTAACATACAAGACCTGACTGCATGGTTAGGTCAACCCAACAGAAAAAGCCTTCCTGCATGGAAGCCAGGAGCTGAGGAAGAAGTTATGAACAGCCAGGTGGATGAATGTGTCACTGAAGACAGGAAAGGCTGCTATTGGAGGTAAAGGGTAAAAATGGGAGTACATCCTCTAAGAAGCTACAAAATCACCATATGAGAAAGGTAGTATTTGAGCACTCACAAATAGAGAACTCCAAACACAAATTTAAAGAACACCAGTCCAATCAAAATTGGCTAACCTTCCACTTCCAACTGTGGTGGTAAGAAACAGAGAACTCCCTAGTAGCAAAGAAGACAGAGAGAAACAGTGAGGCAAAATTTTATGGCCTTTCCCATGCAGGGTTCTGATCTCAACAAGCCTAGGTGTTGGGGGAGGGACTGGAGGAGGACCAAGCTTCCAATCAAATGAGAGAGTGGAGTTTTTATACGGATGTGGTTAATGTTTTAACACCTGGAAAAATGAGATTATTTGTTAATTCCTGAGAAAGTCTGGAAAACCTAAGGCATCTGAGAGATCCAGAAAATAGGAAAAGGATTTGACCAAGTTTTTAAGGAGAGTAATGGGGAAAAAATAACAAATTCATTTTCTGTTGGGTCCAGACTGTGTCCTTTTCATTTGATAAATTGGTTATACATTTTTAACTGCTCATGTTTATATGGCATTTCATAGCTTATGGAATAATTTTCTATAATTATCAAATTTGATCATCACCAAAAACTTGCCTATACCAGAGCAGACAGCATGGCTCTCCTCTTTGAGGTGAGGAAACTAAGGCTAAAAAAATATGAACTTTCTTACCCAGTGCTGGATAACTAGCACCAGCAAGGCAAGACTTCTCATTAGCATTCTTTCCTCGGCTCTTTGCTCTCAAATGGAACTTGCCAGGGATAAGTAGATTAGAGATTCACTCATTCATTCATTCATAACTACCAACTACCCTGTTTCTCTACCCTTGTTGTGGTGGTGGTCATTTAAGTTTTAGGCTAAATATACCTCTGCTAACTCAACTATTCTACTCCTAAGTAGAAACTTAGGCAGATAATCTTACTGCCCACATACAACTAGTGAAAATCTCCTACTGATTCTTTTTTAAAAAAAAATGCTTTACCAATGTCTAATTTACACAGAATAAACCACACAAACTTAAATGTACAATTTGATATGTTTTGAAATATTTATCTAAGAAACCGTCACCACAATAAAGATAATTAACATCCATCAAACCCATTCATTTTCTCCTGACCAATCCCATCCTCCTATACCGTCTAACCTTCTTCCCAGACAAGCACTAATCTACTTTTTGTTACTGTTGATTAATTCGCATATTCTAGCATTTTGTAAAAATAGAATCATATAGTACATTCTCTTTCTTTTCTTGGCTTTTAACACATGGCATGATTTGGGGCCAATTCATTCACAATGTTGTCTGTATCAATAGTGTGTTTGTTTTTGTGGGTTAGTACTATTGTAGCATAGCCATATAAGAAACTATTAGTTCCTTATATGGCTATACTACAATTTTCTTATCTGTTCTTCTGTTGAAGGTCATTTGGGTTGTTTGAGGCTATTACAAATAAAGCTTCTATAAATATTTTTGGAAAAGTCTGTGTGTGAATACCCTCTTAGATAAATATCTAGGAGTGGAATGGCTGGATAATATAGTAGTTGTATATTTATTTATTTATTTTTAAGAAACTGCCGACCTGTTTTCCAAAGTGGTTGTACCATCTTATATTCCTATCAGCAGCTTACGAGAGCTCCATTTTCTCGATATCCTTGCTAATATTTGATATGGCTAGTCTTTTTTATTTCAATTATCCCAATAAGCTTTTCAGAATAACACAGAGTGACTTTTAAAATGAATTTGTCTAAAAACAAATGAAATTGGATTTTCCAATCCAAATATCTTCTTTAGTTAAAAGTATGTGTAAGTTTTTGGCTTATTTTTATTATCCCTTTTATTTTCATATTTGTGAGTTGGAACAATCTTCTTTTATTCTGGATGTAATTCATGTTTTATAATTTGCAAATATTTTCTTCTAATCTGTTTCTTGTTTCTTGATTCTCTTAATAGTGTTTTTCTGAGAGCAGAAGATTTTAGTTTGGATGAAGTACAATTCATCATTTTTTCTTTCGTAAATTATACTTTCAGTGCCACAGCTAAGAAATCTTGCCTAGCCCAGATCACAAATCTTTCTCCTTTGCTTATTCCTAGAAATTTAAGTTTTAGACTTCACTTTTTAAATTAAATTTTAGTAAATGATGTGGGCTGTGAATCAAGATTCTTTCTTGCTTTTTATCCTCTTTTTGCATATAGAGCTACAATTGTTGCTGCACCATTTGTTAAAAAAAATATTCTTTCTCCAAGTAACTGCCTTTGAAACGTCAAATATCAATTGTCCAAATATATATGGATTTATTTCTAGATTCTCTATTCTGTTTTATTAATCTACTTGTCAGCCTTGACACCATACTCATGATTTCTGTCATTTTAGAATAAGTCTTGAAATCAGATAGGGTCAATCCTCCAACTTTATCATTCTTTTTAAAGAAATGCTCTAAAATTTATAAAAATTTTAGAATCCACTTGTCAATTTCTACCAAAAAAAAAGTCTGTTTGAATTTTAATTGAGATTGCTTTGAATCTGCAGATCCACTTGAGGAGAACTGATACCTTAAGAATATTGAGTCACTGGACTCAATGCAAAGACCATTTATTTGGGTCTTATAAAATTTATCCCAGCAAATTTCTGTAGATTTTCGTGTACAGAGCTGGGACATTATTTAGTTAGATTTGTCTGTCTCTGGCTGAGAGACCACATAAACACATTTTCTGAGACACAAGAACTATACACTTCATTTCATAGAGAGGAAAGAAACACACTTAACCCCTCATACAAACAGTTGTGTATAAAATCAGGCAATGAAATCTCCTGTGGTTCATGTTGATATGGCTGCTAAGGGTAGGTAAGGGTAGGAATGATGGGTGGTAGTAGGATCATGGTTGGAGTGACCTGTCTTGAGAAGGACTTGGGGTGAGACTAACATTATCAGAGAGAATGAGGTCTAAGAATCTGCTAAGTTTTTCGTAATGAAATTTAAAACTTTATTTTTAGACTTACCAAAAATGGCTACTTCTTTGCCCTTAACAGTCATATTGACATATTATTTATTTCAGTATCACAGAGCTCAACTGATTAGATGAAATAACTTCTTTAATGCTAATTAACGTAGAGTCAGGTTCTGTTTAATATTAGCAAAATTCCCTGTCTGGCAACCTTTAAAAACTGAATAGCCAATAATTTGTAGAGGATGGTATAGGCACTGATCTCCCTAGAGTCAAAAGGCTACATGACTGTAGAGCTTCCTAGGATAACTTAGAGCTCTATGTGCAATTAGATAATAATGTTAAATAAAAATTCACATGACTTTAACAAAGAAGACCATTTGAGTTCATACCCTTAGTGGATTTCTTTCCCTCATGCACAATCCTGAATCATTTTAGACTGTGAGGAAAATATTGGTATTAAAATGCCTTGCAGCTATGTTAACTCCCTTGAGTGGCAGTTGACAGTTCTGAAAGACTGTGGCCTTGTAGGCTGATGAGGTTTCTACCAATCCTGAATTCCAGACAGAGAGAGTTATTTTTAACTTCACTATCAATGCACATGACTGTCCTTGCAGGGAAAAATGAGCCAAAATGACATGATGATTCTATTGCTGAGGTGAAAGGGATTGAGGTGCAGTCTTAGTTTCACATGATCCTTAAGGATAGTGGACAGCTTTCCAAAAAGAATGGTAATAAAAAAAAAAAAACAGTGATTTTAATGAACTATTCAGGCATACCAGAAGTTTACTACTGAGAAAATGAAAAGTTAAAGGGATTATTTTAGATTAATTCTAACTAATTCTAGATTATTCAACCCACACCTGATAATTCAAGTGCTGATGTTTAATGGTGATAGTGCAAAGACCAATTTAAGGAGATTCCATGTCACTCATTTTACAGAAGACATGTTCAATCCTACCAATATTTTTATCTCCATGAGAACTTTATTCAACTCACATATCATTCAGCTCCTCATAAATCACTAAGCTGTCAAACTCAAACTTTAGTTCACTTGATTCAACACTTACTGGGCAAATAGCATGCGCAAAGCATTAAATTGGAACTGGAGGAGACTCCAAGATAAATAGCACATAGTCTTCATTTTCCAGAGAGCCACAGTCCAGTAGGGAACAGAAACACACATTAACAATTTTAAAACAAGGGAAACTCTGGTATTTCTATTATTAAGATGTAGAAGGAGAGATGAATTCTGGCTATGTGCAGAAACGTAGAACAAGCACTGTCTTTTCCATTATTGATGACTTCTGCAACCTCTTTATAAATCTCAGCTTTTGCTCATCATGTTATGACACATTATCAAGTAGAATGCTTTCAGTTGCAAGCACAATAATAATTAACACTGGCTTAAATGAGAGAAAGAAATCTCACACACACAAAATATAATCTGGAAGTAAGTGGTTCTAATTGTTGTACAGAACATCATGATATCATTAAGAATCCAGGCTCTAACTCTCCACTCTATTGGAGAACTTGACTTTTAATCATTTATTATAGCTTGTTACCTCTTGGTTGCAAGATGCCTGCCTCAAGCATTACGTGCTATACAACCCATCCAAAGTAGAAGAAAGAGGCAAGATTTCTCACTATTTCTTTATATCCGGGGAAAATATTCTGCCCAGTAGGTCCCCAGAATACTTCTCTTACATCTTATTTGTCAGTACTGGGCCACGTTTACTTATAAATGGGCATTTAGCAAATGGGGAAACATTCACTTTACCTGTCTTTGGCCAATCATTATATATTATCTGAAGCTGTGGAGGTTCATGCTTTCCCTGAGAGTGTTACTGCTCAAACAAAACTGAGAATCTATAAATCAAAGGAGTTTATAGAAGGGAGGCAGATGACAACCAACAGTGTCTGTGAGAACACATTCACATTCATGTAACTAAGTACTTAGATTATGCAATCACCCAAACTGAAATGACTACACCGTTGAGCTCAGAAACCAATACTCCAAAATATGGTGCTTTGACTCACTGAACTGAAGAAGCCTCAAAGTCCGTCTGATCGTTTCTTCTCCTGTCCCTCATTTATCTCCTAAAGCACAGAATGAAGTTGTTCTCTGAAGTTCCCTTATGTAATTAAAGTCTGGGCCTGCCACAGAAGAAAATAATTAACCCAGGTACCTTCTCTGAGTTTTCATTAACTGAACTCATATCCCTGAATGAAAGACTGAAGTCTGTAAACACACAGGCTTGTCACGAACCATTGCCTGCTCTGTGGGCCCAATAGACTTCATCATAAACCATTGAATGTTCTTCAAGCCCATTGGATTCCCCTAAAAATCACTTACTACCTTCCCTAAAATCATCCATACTTCCCCATCTCCCTTTAGCCTAAGAAGAAAGGTGCATTAATCATCTGTACCCCTTTTTGTGATGGGGCAATCACTCTGTGATTTCTCCCTATGCGCATTAATAAATTTTTATGCCATTTCTCTTATTAATCTGTATTAATCTGCCTTTCGTCAGTTGATTTTCAGAGGCCTTCAGAGATAAAACTTCCCCTTTGCCCCTACAAACCGTCACTACATCTAAAAATACATCTAAAATAATCCTAGCCAATAAGCCGATCATGGGGCTAAAGACCATTATGGCTCAGTTAGGGGAGAGGTGTTGGAGTATAATGTTATGGGACAGGCATATAGACATATGATGCTCAGTCCATATTCCAGTCACCTGAGTAGCTTTTCAAAATATTGATGCCCAGGTCACTAGAGATTCTAATTTTCAGATTTAATCGGTCCACAGTAGGACCTGGAATTTATGTGTTTGTTTGTTTTGTTTTTTGGTAGGTTTGTTCATTTTACATTTCCTAGGCAATTTTTGAATGTAATTGACCCAAAAAGCCTAAGCTTGCCTACATTACACAGGTTTCTTCCTGACAATAGGCTGCCAAACTCTCTTTTCTTAGAACATTTACTTTAGAATACTTAACAAATGTAAATTTTTCTCTGTCCCTTTGAAATGTATGTAAATATTTTGCTAGTTTTATAATTCAGAAAATGTCATCCTCAAGAATCTGGGAACCATCTCTGAAATCTGAACATAGAAGGTGATAGCATCCCTATTTCTCAGTCATTTTGGGAGAGTAGCAGCATATCTTCATGGAATAGTCACCAATTAGCAAACACAGAGATCCTAATCACAGAGAAAACATTTGCAAACTCAGTTATAACTCAATGCATTCAATATATCCCATTGATCAACATCTTCCCTGAGGTCCTCCAGTACTTTTTCCCTAGCTCAGAGTTCAGCACTCAGCACTTAAAAACCCTCCTGCCCTTTGCCTCAGCAGAGTTGGGTATGGAGACTTGATCTATATCTCTGCCCTATTTCAGGCAATAGTTTCGGAATAAAGTCAATGTTTGCTCATCTTGTCTAGTGCAATTTTTTTAAAACATAATCAGAATTAAGAATTTCCAAATGTTGGCTGGGCGCAGCGGCTCACACCTGTAATCCCAGCACTTTGGGAGGCCGAGGCGGGTGGATCACGAGGTCAGGAGATCGAGACCATCCTGGCTAACATGGTGAAAACCCATCTCTACTAAAAAAAAAAAAAAAAAAAAAAATTAGCCGGGCTTGGTGGCGGGTGCCTGTAGTCCCAGCTACTCAGGAGGCTGAGGCAGGAGAATGGCATGAACCCAGGAGGTGGAGCTTGCAGTGAGCTGAGATCGTGCCACTGCACTCCAGCCTGGGCGACAGAGTGAGACTCCGTCTCAAAAAAAAAAAAAAAAAAAAAAAAACAATTTCCAAATGTCTCTAGAGGACCTACTGTCAGTCTACTTAACCTCAACAGACCTTCATCTTCCCCTATGTTAACAGACCTTCCTTATGAATTGGGCATGAGGACTCACTGAGATAGGCACACTTCCTGACCTAAGGTGGGTGGGCACCCAGTAGTTGCTTGTTTCTTTCATCCTCTGAGGGAAAATATGTGCACAGATAAAGATTAAACAACCTGACTTCAAGAAACTTCATTTTATTTATTATAGGTCTACAGTGTTACAGTGGTCTATGTGTTAATACAACCATCCAGAAAATAGTTTCACTTCATGTGGATTGCTCTAACTAATCTAGAGACATTAATTATGTTTTAAGAGTACAGAGTAGATGAAGTACTGAAATCCAGGATTAATTGGTTCACATTTTCAGGACAATGAGAAGAGGTGATTATAATCTGGGTTTCATCTCCCAAGGCAACAAAAGAATGTTCCTGTAGGCTTATCTTTTTCATCACATCTCTCTAACCCAGCAGTCCCCTACCTTTTTGGCACCAAGGAATGGTTTCATGGAAGACAATTTTTCCACGTTCATGGGTAGGGGGAGATGGTTTCAGGATTAAACTGTTCCACCTCAGAACATCAGACATTAGTTAGATTCTCATAAGGAGCCACAACCTAGATCCCTCACATTCGCAGTTCACAATAGGATTCGCACTCCAGTGAGATTCTAATGCCACTGCTGATCTGACAGAAGGTGGAGTTCAGGCAGTAATGCTCGCTCACCTGCTGCTCACCTCCTGCTGTGTGGCCTGGCTCCTAACAGGCCATGGTCCAGACTGGTACCATGGGGGGACGCCCTGCTCTAACTTACCTCTCTCTACATCTGAATATAGAATTGAATTTCTTCTGTGGACTTCTTCCTCTACTCCACTACACCTGCCACCCACCTTATTACTGGTTCTGGACTTTTTTATTTACTCCTCTTCTTAGTACTTAATTTTAAATGCATGTTTTTTGCATCCTCTCATTTGAGCTTCATACTAACCCTATGAGGAAGACAGGCCACATAAACCCCTTTCATAGATAAGTACACTGGAAAAAGAAATGCTTTCCATTATCCAGGTAGATGGTAATTGGAGGAAACAAGATAAAATTCCCCTCATTTAAATCTAAGTTCAGTATATTTTCTATGTGACCATGTGACATATTTTAGGATATGTAGTGTATAATATAAAATATAAAAGTATATAAATATACTTTTATATGTTCAATTTTCATTAAAATTTTAAAGTATATCTATCTGAGTTCTTTCATTGAACTCAGTAGTAAGAAAACAAAAAACTCAATTTACAAATGGGCAAAGAATCCACATAGATGTTACTCAAGAAAAGACACACAAATGGCCAACAGGTATATGAAATGTTCATCAACTAATCATCAGATAAATGGAAATTAAAGCCACTATGACATATCACTTCAAACTTCTTAGAATGGCTGTCATCAAAAAGACAAAAAATAACAAGTGTTGGAGAATAGATAGAGAAAAGAAAACCCTTGTGCACTGCTGGTGGGAATGTAAATTAGAACAACCATTATGGATAACAGTATGGAAACGCCTCAAAATATTAAAAATAGGACAACCACATGATACAGCAATTCCACTATTGGGTATATACCCCAAAGAAAGAAAGAAAGAAAGAATTTATTATGTTAAAGAGATATTTGCACTCCTGTGCTCATTGCTTCATAAGAGCCAAGATATGGAAACAACATAAGTGTCAGTTGCTGGATGAGTAGATAAAGAAAATGTGATCTATACACAATGGAATACTATTCAGCCTTTAAAAAGAAGAAAATCCTGTCATTTTTGACAACATAGATGAACCTGGAGGACATTATGTTGAGAGAAATAAGACGGGCACAAAAAGACAAATGTTGCATGATCTCACATGAGGAATCTAAAAATGTTGAACTTGAAGTAGAGAGTAGAATAATGGTAAAAGAGGCTAGGGGTGGTGAAAGGGAAATGTTGATCAAAGGATACAAGATTTCAGTTAGATTGAAGAAATAAGTTCAAGGAGTCTATCATGCGACATTGTGACTAGAGTTAACAACAATATATTCATGGAAATTGGGGAGAGTCAATTTTAAGTGTTCTCACCACAGAAAATGTTAAGTGTGTGAGATAATGTATATGTAAATGAGCTCTATTTAGCCATGTCAAAATATATGCATGTTTCAAATAAAAACATGTACATGATATACACAATTTTGTCAATCATGAAATAAAATAATAAATATCTTAGCTCCTATGGCTTATTCACTTCTCTTCTTTAAACTAACCGCCTGACTGAATTCCTGAATGTTCTTATTACTGTTTGTTGCCTATTACCTATTAACTGAATTTACACTTTTTAAATGTCACTGAAGAAATCTCTTAATTAGACTAAGAGCTATTGCTGGACTCTGCCAATTCTAGTTCACCTGCTTGGCTGAAAGGTTTCTAATACTCAGCACTGTGGCGGCCTGCCTCCCACAAAAGAAAGCCTCCCTGGGGATTTTTTCTTCTTACCTGTCTCTTTGCTATAATTCTTGACTCCAAATTTGGACATGTTATAACCTGTGATAGATGCATATAAGGACTGGATAAATTCAGTTGCCATAGAAAAGCTTTCCTGGCTGATTTAAAAAAAAAAAAAAAAAAAAACAGGGGTATGAATGTAGTGATGGACTTACCACGGTCCTGTCCAAACCATCTTTTTCATGGCCAAGCCTAAAAATGAGAGAGGAGGTTTGCCGTCTGATGGAAATCGAGGTCTCCATCATGGATCTCCGGCAATTAGAGGATAAAAATGATGTACTCCTCAGGGGAATCTGAGTAAAAACAATTCCATTGACAGAAAATCTTAAGAGATGGTATAAAGGCAATTTAATATTTAACAATATACATTTTTTTACTGTGTATGAAAAACACTAAACCCCCCAAAAAAGAAAATTAGGCTTAAAATAAAAAGTTATTAGTAATTAAGAATTGATAAAGATAACCAGATGTTTGTTTCTTTAAATTTTGCTCAAATTTACTTTCCTTTGCTCACACTGGTGCTTTTATATTAAAAAAAATATGATGCTAGGTTTCAAAATACAACATTTTACTGGATCCCACCCCTCATAACTAACACCCATCTTATTCCCTTTACTGAATGACCTCAGTGTTGCACAATCAGGTGAAATGATGAGATCCTAGTTTGCAAGGAGATTGTGTGATTCAAGTTTTGATTCTGTGTCACTTCCTAGAAGAAATGAGCAAATGACTTTTCTCAATAACACCATTTTCACTTATTCTTCTATCTGAAATATACTTGCGCTAGCAAATGTTTCAAATGGAAATGTCTCCTGACACTATCTACCCTTCTTTATTGCTTACTGTGAATTATTAACATCAGATTCACACCTAGCTTGCTAAGGACTGAAGAAAGAGAATGTTTCACTTCTAAAGGCTAAAAAATAATATGCAGCTACATGGACAGCCAGAAAGATTCATGGAACAATGTTAAACACTGAGCACTAAGATAGTCCCAATTTTAACAAGGAAGAGAAATAACAGCAGGAGAAAAGGGAGTGACAGGTAAAATTAGTCTATTTTTAGGGTACCCCTGAAAATTCTTGCTACAGGCACTGTTGTCTAAGGTAAGACAGTAAAATTAATTTTAAAGAACTCAATTGTTTGAGCGCCAATTTTCTGTATTTACATCCCATTCACTCTTTCTTTGTAGCAGAAAGGAGGAGGGGTAAAGGAAAACAACTGACAAGATACTAGCATGCATAAGCCTCCCTTTTTTAGTCAGTGTAGGACAGTATGTCTGGCTTATGTGTTCAATAGAATTGGGTGTCTATAGGTAGGAATATAGGCCAAATCTGAAGGAATGATTCCCTGGAGACTGTGGAAGTTCATGTCCCAGATAGGAAGGTATGTCAAGAAGTTGGAGCAAACATCTACCTAGTCCTGCATGGAAATCAACACTGTTCCAGCGTTTTGACTACTGGTGCAGAGAGAGTGGGGGAAGGTGGGCGGGGAAGGCAAGGTGAGGAGGGCAGCCCTTGGCATGGTAGTGCCATTCTCATTTAGGTCACCACAATAGTGAAATTTCTCCAACAGGAAAAATAATCCAACAGGGAGTCAGAGCAGAATGGGAAGAAGCTACAGTGGTACAGAAGCCAACATAAATAGCTGAAGGTACACAAGAGGTATCACTTTGGTAATGGCCTAGAAACAACTGGGGAGTTCCTAGTTGTGCCCTGGAACTTCTGAGGGGCTGTCAAGTCAGCAGATTTCTGGGATAAAAGAGTAATTAAATTACCAAAATAAACCAGTAAAAACAAAGATATTTAAGAGCTCACATTTCATAGGCAGTGCATAGATCATTGATTTTCTGCTAGCACTACTATTTCTCAGATATCTATGTCTGGTTGAGTCATCAAGATGTTCTCCATGGAACTGTGGGCAGAGTACATTAGGCTGTAATAGGACTGCACTTACACACAAAACTCATGAGGCAACTTCTAGTATCGCATAAGTTTTTAACCGTGACCAAACGACTGGTGGCTAATCACCAGTCTGTCACTTCAATTTATTGGTTTATCCATTTGTTGAGTACCACTATAAACACAAACTCAGTGACATCCTGTACCCAAAATAAAAGATCTATTTTTAGATGAAAGGGGTGAGACATTTCATTGATGAGAAGTTTCCTGAAGACTAAAACATAGAACCAATACTATTTCCATATAAACTTTTCTCTCAAAATGAACATGGGTAAATTATTTATGATGAACCCAGGAGTTATGTCTCCATCAAATCCAAAGCAAGTGTTCATTCATCAAATACTTGCTGGGTGTCTACTTGGTGCCCAGCACTATAATGCACTGGGGAAATATTTGTGAGCCAAGGAACACAGTTAATGCTCTGACAGAAATTATAGTTTAATGGGTAGTTGAACATTAATGAAGTAACCACAGTAACAAATGTGAATTACTAGTGAAGAAAAGTTCCCTGAAAGAAAAGGATCCGAGTTTGTTCACTGATGGAGAGGGGCACTTAGAGCAAGATACCCGACCTTGACTGGGGACCAAGCACGAAATCCCTAAGAGGTGACAGGAAGAGAGAAGTCTGAAACGTTAAGTGAGTTAACCAGGTAAGATTAATTCAACATTAACTCAAGCCAAGATGACTAAATAACACATTATAACCTCTGTAATTTGAAAATAAAAATCCATGGCAAGAGAGGCAGCTCAGCTTTCAGCCAGTTTGATCTTTACAATCACATAAAAGGTGCAAGGCCATAATCACAAGGATAGGGAGAAGTAAAATGTTTTTAAAGTGGCAGACGCAATCTTACAAATTTTGCTTACAGTCCTATCTTTTATATTAAATGCACGTTTTCCCCCTGTTGTGAAGTCTGTTGGGTTTAGAGTCTCAGCCTGATACTCAATGCATACAGCACTAGTCTGGCTCATACACCTGCAGCGCCCCAAAGATCGCGAGCCCTATTATTTATCATCTGTGTTGCCATTACGTGTAGTGACAGATAATTCCCAATAAGTATATAGTACAATCTGAAGTATTCTTAGCCTCAAAATTTCATTAGTGTATTTAAAAAGCCAACTGTCAAGAAGTAGAAAGAGCAACGTAAAAATAAAAATACAGACTTGACCTTGGGGATTTAACATACATGAGGCTTTTGTCTTCACCTGTTATTAAGTTTCTGTGACCCTGAGAAGTCACTTATTCACAGTTTACTAAACATTACTATCAAATATAACAAGAGGGGGTTATTTAGTCCTTCTTCCATTGTTTTTTGTTTGTTTGTTTTTTTGACAAGGTTTCACTAGCCGTCCAGGTGATAGTGATATAAATAAAAATCAGGGCCAAGTTCCCTGCTGTTTCCCATTTTAGGGTTAATAGGAAGTTTTATTTTCCCCTCTAGTATTGTGATTTATCTTGAAAAAAAGTTTTCGGCTCACTGTAGCATCTATTTCCTGGGCTCAAGCGATCCTCCCACCTCAGCCTCCTGAGTAGCTGGGACTACAGGCACATGCCACCACCCCTGGCTAACTTTTGTATTTTTTGTAGAGATGGAGTTTCGCAGTGTTGCCCAGGCAGGTCTCAATCTCCTGGGCTCAAGTGATCCACCAGCCTCAGCCTCCCAAAGTGTTGAGATTACAGGTGTGAGCCACTGCACATGGCCTTCCTCTAGCTTTTAAGGGTAGAACAACACAACCTTAAATGCACCAATGCAAGAAAGCCTTATTTGCTCTGTTCTAATTTTACAGTTTTTGAAAAAATAATATAGTACTTCCTTCTTGGTTTCATGAAATCTTATTCCGCAACCATATCAGAAAGTGAAGTTACTATTTATTTTGTACCAATTTGAGGAAAAATAAGATCATAGGTATAATTATAAACAATTTGAGTTCTACAAGAATGTAATAATCGTCATCATTTTTGGGCACTCATATTCCAGACTTTGTTATTAGTAAACATGATTTATCTAATTTAACCTTCAAAATAATTTTATGCAGTAGGTATTATTACGATCTCCATTTTACAGAGGAAAACACTGAGGCCTGAAGAGACTAAGTAACTTCTCAAGGTGGTCCAGTTAGTAAGAGTTAGAATGGGATTTTCACCTTCAGTGTGTGCTCTGAATTTCCTCCTACCTATGCACAAAGCATGTAACTCTTTATCGATAGCTGCATTTTTAAAAAGGTGATTCAGCATGCTGAGTTGGAAGGTAAATTCTTAGTGTACTCTTTTTCTCTCTTTATAAACTCAAATATTTTCAGTAGCAAACTTCCCAGGTATCATTCGTTAATGCCCTCCCCTCGCTAGGAATCATGAAGTACTTCAGGTAACAAGTCAACCCACCTGCTTTCTAGGTTGCTTCTCTAGCCCCACCATCTTGTACAGAATCTCCAAGCAGATATTCACTTCTTGCTTAGACCCAGACATGTTTCACTTTCTCTCCAAAAATTCAATATAGCATCCTGCAGAGACGAATAAATTCATAAACTAGAAAGAAATTAGTAGTGCCATCGTTATCAGCACTTTGTGAGAAAACCATAGAGAATTTCTAGGGAGGCATAAAAATAGCCCAAAGTCCACACCCCCTTTCCTGCTTTTTAAACAAACTTCCTCAAGGGCATTTGAAATCATAGTTTCAGCTTGCTATGGGAAGTATTAATAAACTTGAGAATGTTCTGAGAGTGAGAATGCATTTTCTTTTTAGTTTTGTCTTTCAAAGACTGCATTTCATGCTCTTGTGTAACTTTGGAAATAACAAAACTTGGTTTCTGTGTCTGCAAATTCAAACCCAAAATTGTTTAAAGGATAGAGCATGTGTTAGTCTGCTATCAGGCTGCTAGGAAAAACATACTCGAGACTGGGTAATTTATAAAGGAAAGGAGGTTTAATTGACTCACAGTTCCACATGTCTGGGGAGGCCTCACAATCATGGCAGAAGGCGAATGAGAAGCAAAGTCCTATCTTACATGGCAGCAGGCAAGAGAGTTTGTGCAGGGGAACTCCCCTTTATAAAACCATCAGATCTTGTGAGACTTGTTCTCTATCACGAGAACAGCATGGGAAAGACCCGCCCCCATGATTCAATTACCTCCCACTGGGTCTCTCCCACAACAGGTGGGAATTATGGAAGCTATAATTCAAGATGAGATTTCGGTGGGAACATAGCAAACCATATCAGAGCATAAGAAGATAATTTTTAAATTTGACCTTAAACAGTTCATTCCTTGGTAGCTAAAGTATGCAGATTCCATAATGACAAAATAATGAACCAAATCGTTTCAGGTGATATGAAACTAGAGATGAAAGTAACCATTCAGCTAATTTAGGCAAAACTGGAGGAGGAGTATTCTGATAGTACTAACTCAGTAACACAAACCGGTGAAAAGTATTTCAAAAACCAATTTGTAAAATGTGCTTCTCATCCTCATTCACTAACTTCTTAGGTAAGCCTATTATGTGCCTAGATGCTGCTAATACATGGCACAGTCCTTGGATTTTCTCTGTACTCAGATATCTACAAGGGTATTGGTGCTTAGTGTGGGTTTTCAGAGTAGAATAATAAAGAATGTGCATCTGGCTTGTTAGTTCATTTTCTTGCTATTTATGTTACTTCAAACAAGGTAATTAACCTGTCTGAGCCTCATCTGCCCATCTGTAATATAAGGGCAAATAGCACCCATTTTGAGTGTTGTTATCAAGCATTAAATAAGGTAATGTACATTACACAGGGGAGAAGCCCTCTTGTCTCCTTGTATTTCTTTGTATTCTCTGCAGTGCCTTAAACACAATAACTTTCTATTTTGTCCCTGAGATAATCAGATCATCAACTGTCATTTCTTTCTTTCTATTTTTTTTTTTTGAGACAGAGTCTCGTTCTGTTGCCCAGGCTGGAGTGCAGTGGCATGATCCTGGGTCACTGCAACTTCCACCTCCCAAGCTGCTGGGACTACAGGAGTGGCCCACCATGCCCAGCTAATTTTTGTATTTTTAGTAGAGACGGGGTTTCACCATATTGGCCAGGCTGGTCTCAAACCCCTGACCTCGTGATCCACCTGCCTCTGCCTCCCAAAGCAATAGGATTACAGGTGTGAGCCACCACGCCCAGCCCTCAACTGTCATTTCTAATAACTCACTGCCAGTGTTGTTCTCAGAGCAGTAATTTCATCATTGGCACAGTTCCTGTTTATATAATATTAAAACCAGCATCGTCAAAAAATAATTATAATTTATAAGGTTCACAGACATAATTTTATGGTTTTATGGCCTTCTATCCAAGGTGCTGTGCAAAGCAGTTAATTTGAGAGTGTTTCATCGTTGACATCTTCTCTTCTGAATTCACTGGCCTGTGGATAACCTTGAAGGGCTCAGCTCACCTTCCGTTGCCCCTATAGAGGCCTAACCTGATCAGTTCACTAAGGGCCTTGATTTTAACTTGCTCTAGTTGCACTTTGATAGGGTACTTCTGAACCATTGGACCGAAAGGGATTCATCAATTAATTAAACAAATATTTGTGAAGCGCCTGCCATGTACAGGAGCTGTGTTAAATGTGAAAACCTTGTGCATGACACAGACTGTTAGAATTTCCTTCTTCTTTTTTTTTTTTTTTTTGTATTAAAGCCCAATTGCCATTCAGTACCAATCAAATCACAGCAAATGAGTCCAATTCTATATCCTTAAGGATGGTTTCTTTTATAAAGATTAAATTAACAATGAATTAATCCCAAAGGACTAAAAGAAAGAGAAAATTTTAAGTTCCTCCACTTTTTGGGAGCTGAGATTTAAAGCAGTAGGCAGAGACTGGAGGTGATAATCACTCTTTTCACTGCTGCACTCTGGAAGCAGAGACATATTTGAATATGAGTCACCCTCCTCAGCAAGCTTTAGTTAAAGGATAATTACATGTGTTGTCCTAGAATAGAACAAAGAGAATTAATGTAGCAGTTTTTTTTCTATCTAAATCTAATGTGCTAGTATGGACATGTACACAGATCTTTTTAGAAAACAGCCCAGAAGTTCTCAATCAACTTTATATGGAGATTACATGAACATGAACATGTTTACTTCCAATTTGATGAAGGAAAAGTACACTGGGTTAGAGGAATAAGGTAAATGAAAATCAGTGCCAAGTTCCCTGCTGTTGCCCAGTTTAGGGTTAATAGGAAGTTTCATTTCCCCCTCTAGTATTGTGATTTATCTTGGGAGAAAAAAAGTTTTAAAATCACATTTCATGCTGTATGTTCTAGAAGGTCATACTGTCTGTTAAGCATGTTGTCATTCCTTAACAAATGCTGTAGAAACTTCTTATAGGTGTATAGCAGAGGTTTAAAAAAATTTTCTTGACCTTTTCATTGTTAGTTCAGGGAAGAGTAAGAAATAAAAATGGGTAAAATGTCCTTTTGAGAGCTAAAGAAAGAGACGTTCTTTTTCTACTTACTAACTGTCCCAGTGAAATCTCCCTGAAGATTGTACCTTCAAAAAGAGTTTTTGTCTTCCTTCTACTCTAATCAATATTGAAGAATGGAGATTTCAACATTCACTGTTTGCAGCACTCAATATTACTTGGAAATTATTCTTCATAATTCAGCTTCTAGAGATTACCTTGTTTTCTTTTTTATTCACATTACCATCTCTTCTACTTCTACTTTATGAAAATTATCTCAATATAACATAAATCGGTAAAATTATCTTGGATTTTTAATTGTCACTGATTCTTCATCATACCCTCTGTCTTCTGTCTATCTCTCTTCCTTCCCATTGTATCTCCATGCCTGATGTGTTATATGTAAAACAGGCACTATTTGTTGAATAGACTGATGAATTTCATTTCCACAGGAATCACCTCCCACCTCCAAGACAAAGGAACTAAAGATCCTATCAGTGACATTTACTTCTTATGAATTATGTTAAAATACATGCTGCGTGTGGTTGAAATTATTAACCCAAATAATAGAAATACTATGAGTACAATATTTAATGATAGAATTGGCATAATTTTTAGATCTGGCATGGAATAATTGCCAAGAGTACTGTCTTTAGAATCACCTGGTTTGGGTTGAAGTTCTGACTCAATCATTAATTACGTAGGTGATTTGTGTAATTTAATTAAAATTTTATGTGCTTTTCTTTTATCATGTATGCTAAGTGCTTCATAGAGTTTAGCAGTTTAAATGAAATTATCCATGTAAAGGGCTTTGGAACAGCATCTGATCCATAGGAAGCTGTTATCTACGTTATGTCTTGCCCATCTTATGTTCTTATTTGCACAGAGGAATTAGTGTTTACTGTGAATACTGACAGAGCAGGTCCAACCTAAATTAATCAGCTCAAATAACCCTGTATCCCCTTGGATCTAAGTGCCCCTGCCTCAATCCTTTTTCACCTCTTGCATTTCCCATGCATTTAGAAATGGCATAAAGAGTAAATATACAGAGAAGGAAGAAATGCAAATTGAAGAGGAGAGGAATGGCTACTGCTCTACCCAAGTTGGAAAGCCAGATTTATATGCCCTAAGAGATGTTAATACACCCACCTTCTCTCAACCTTACTGTTTTTCTGTTTTCCTTATTTAAGGGGTTCCAGTCCCTATATTGAGACTAATTGCTTTGAACAAATAAATTCCCCTCTCTGGAACTCCTGTTTCCTCTTGTAAAAAAGTAAGAGGGTAGATGAAATTAGCTCAGTGGTTCATCTCAGCTCTAAAGTTGCTTTTATGTCTTCCCTCTCACACTTTCCTCAGAATGGAATACTTTGACACAATTTTTAACAGGGTCAAATTTATTAAGTCAAACTTTTGGGGTTTTTTTTGATAATTGTAAGCTAGCACAGTAAATATTTTCTGTTAATTTATAAGCAGTAAATAGCACATACTTAATTGCTCATAAGTAAATATACTTCACAAATGGAAGCAAAATCATTCTTTTAATCATCTGCATCATCTTTACTGATTTCATTAGAATTGAAAAGCATTGCTTGCAGGGAATTTTACATTAAACGATATTGCTGTTTACTTGGGGCGGGGGGGCGGTTGGGAATGAGATGTTTAAAGTCAACATAGGGTGAATCGTTAGCTGCACCTTTGTGAGGACTTTGTGACCTCAAGCAGTCTTCCCACCTCAGCCTTCCAAAATGTTGGGAGTACAGGCAGAAGCCACCAAGCCCAGCCATCTTCTGCATTTCAGTAACTGTTTTCTAATTATCAGAAATCTCCTGTGGCAGGAATGAAGTTATATTATTGGAAATATGCAAAATGCTTTAGGATAGGAGTTTAGAACCATATATTCTAAAAATTTCAGTCCTGATTATACTGAACCCTTAGTTTCAGGTATGTGAGCATCTGTGCAGAAAATGAAGGCTGTCTTGAAAATGACATATACATAAAGGCTTATTGTGTTTTCAGCTATGAATTAGAAAGCAAGTGTCTCAGCATTTCCAGGCATCTCATTATTTTCTTAGTTTCAAGAAGATTCCAAATGACCTTTAGAAACATTTTGAAAAATATTCCTTGATGCAAACTTTAGAGAAAAAAAATAATGCCTTGAGCAATCAGACATAGCATGCTATTGTTTGCCAGCCATTAATATACCCTATGGATCTGCAGCAGGAAGCAGAAGCCTACAGGATGTATTTTCCAAACATTTGCGGGGTGAAAACTGCCCCACCCCTATGGGTATACTGTATTTGTGCAACTGCCTTGGAAAACATTCCCTGATGTGGCTCTAGTGATTAGTGCTTCACTTTTTCAGCATTTCTTTCTTTTAACTGTTAGTTGCTTAACCTTTTAGAGCTGTACTACGCATTCTGATTGCTAATTTTTCCCATACTAGTTTATTCATTCATTAATTGCCCACCCATTAAGTACAATGTTTTCAGGTTGGTTGGAGAACAAAAAGAGCAATTAGCAAGGCACGAATCCTGTACTTAAAAATAAATCATTAGGATACAGTCTTTTTTTAGAAAAATGGGTTTGCAGTTGGCTCTGTTAGGAAGTTTGATCTGGTCTCCCATTACCTGTCACATATAAAGTGGCAACTTGGAATTTTAGGAAGAGTTTCCCAAATTCAATCAATCTTGAAATCGTTATAGAATATTCCAAGTATTCTAAGCTTGTAACCACCTGAGAGGTTATTCCTACTTCTGCATAAAGAAAGACCATGGCACTGTAGTAGAGAAAGAGTTTAATAGACGAGGATGGCCATGCCACATGTAAGAGAAGGAGTTTGTACTCAAATCATCACCTTCAAAGCTCCTGGGTTAGAGGTTTTTCAAGGGCAGTTTGTGGGGAAGGGTGCGAGTGGCCAGGTAACAGGTGCTTGCTGCTGATATGTTGGGGCAGAGATGAAATCACAGGGGGTTGAAACTGTTCTCCTGCAAGTGGAATTGCTTCTAGGTGGGGCCACAGGAGTGGGGGTTTGGCGGGGGGTGTTGTGGGTCCAGGTGGAGCCCTGGGAGTCAGACATACAAAAAACCTGAAAAGATATCTCAAAAGGCCAATCTACAATAGTGGTGCTATTTGCAGGAGTAATTGAGGAAGTTGCATATTTTATAACCTCTAAAATAATAGCTGACCTTATCAGGACTAAGGCTCCTCTCCTCCCTTCAGCCTGGTGGCCTCCTATTGGTTTTACAAAAGTGGCTGAGTTGTTGGCAAAGCCTACTATCATTTAAATTGTAGCTTAAATGTCTGCCAAAGTTGGCTTGGCCCAATAGCCCGGGAATAATTAAGGAAAAGGCAAGATGGGGGTTGGGTTAGCTTAGTTTACTGTTATAGTTTTCTCACTGATACAGCTTTTGCAAAGGCAGTTTCAAACTCATGAGATAAAATGTACTCATTAAGAAGACACAGATCCTCAGAAATTAATTGCTAAAAGAAATTACCAAAAAAGGGGAAATAGTCAAAATCTGATTTTTTTGCCAAAACAGAAAACAAAATTAACTGTAGCGTTATACCTGAAAAATAAGGAGTGTTCACGAGTAAGTTTTTAAAAGATATTTGAAAAGTAAGATAAAGCAAAAGTCTTTCATTTTATAGTTTGTTATAAAATATGAATTTTAGAAACAATATCTTGAACTAGAAGAATGTTTTGCCCTCCTTTAAAGTAACTGTACATTGGACACATATTAGAAATATTATTGCTGAGTTCTATTCTCATTTCAAGTGCAACATCCTCCTTATTCCAAACTTTCACTATAGAGTGACATACATACCATTTTTATGATATGATAATAAAGAAAGAGAAATAAGGAACCATGCAATTTTCAGGTTTTCCGAAAGCCTTTAATTAGATAGCTCCTAAAAGAATTATTTCTTCAGCAATAATTTTATATCGATTTTTTTAGAAACTGAAATATACCATTGTGTGTGTGTGTGTGTGGTGTGTGTGTGTTTCTTTCTTTTTTTTTTTTTTTACAAATGCACAGCTTTTTATTATGGACATTTGCAAATATATGTAGAAGTAGAGAGACTAATCAAATAAACTCCCATGTGCCCTTAACCAAGTTTCAATAATGATCAACTTTCTGTCCTAAATGTTTTATCAATCCTCATAATACATTATGTTTTTCTGGAGTATTTTAAAGCAAATTCTAGATATCACATAGCTTTCCCTATAAATACTTCAAGTAATATATATAACAGATAAGGAAATTTTATATATATTATGACAATATAATTAAGAAAAATTTTATAGCAATATCTGATACATCTTTTTACAGTTGGTTTATCAAGACTGTGGTCCAAACAAGGTCTACCCACATATGGCATTTGGCTGATATGTCTCTTATATCACTTTTAATGATATAATTGTTCATTCTCATTCTCTCTCACTCATACACTCTCTCCTATTTATATGTTTACAAAAGTGGGCCATTTGTCCTGTAAAAATTTCAACACATTCTGAATTGGATAGGTTATGTCCCTTTGGTATTGTTTAACATGTTTCTCTCTCTTATTGTGTTTCTGAATTTTCTGTAAATAGGTAGCTAACGAACATTCAATTAAGCATCTCGCTGCATTCTACAAAGAGATACATTGTATCTGATTGTTTAACTTTAGAATTATAAAGATTCATCAATAGTAACAGTAATAGAAATCTTTAATGTCATTCAACTCTTACAGAGTTTCAAATATTCACCTAAGGGATTTAGCATTTCAAATATTCACCTAAAGGATTTAGCATTTGTTGATGTAATTGTCTAGAGACATTATTTGATTCGTGTATTAGTCCATTCTGACACTGTTATAAAGAACTACTGTAGACTGAGTGATTTACTTTAAAAAAAAATAAAGAGAATTAATTGACTCACAGTTCCACAGGCTTAATAGGAAGCATGACTGGAGGCCTCAGGATACTTACAGTCACAGCAGATGGTGAAGTGGGAGCATGCACATCTTCACAATGGCAAAGCAGGAGAGAGAGAGAGAGAGAGAGAGAGAGAGAGAGAGAAGGAGGAAGTGCCAAGCTGTTAAACGATCAGATCTCGTGAGAACTAATTCATCTGTCGTGAGAATAAGGGGGAAATCTGTCCCCATGGTTCAATCACTTCCTACCAGTCCCCTCCCCTGATATGTGGGGATCACAATTTGACATGAGATTTGGGTGGGGACTCAAATCCAAACCATATCATTCTAGCCTGGGCCCCTCGAAAATCTCATGTCCTCCTCACATTTCAAAACCAATCATGCCTTCCCAACAGTCCCCCAAAGTCTTAACTCATTCTAGCATTAACTCAAAAGTCCAAGTCCAAAGGCTCATCTGAGACAAGGCAAGTCCCTCTGCCTATGAGGCTATAAAGTCAAAAACAACTTAGATACTTAGAGGTAACTAACTTGGGGAAACAGGCATTAAATAAATGCTCCCATTCCAAAAGGGAGAAATTGGCCAAAACAAAGGGGCTACAGGCTCCATGGAAGTACAAAACCAGGCAGGCCAGACATTAAATCTTAAAGCTGCAAAATCTCCTTTGACTCCACATCTCACATCCAGGCCACGCTGATATAAAGGGTAGACTCTCAAGTTCTTAGGCAGGTGCAAGCTGTCAGTAGATCTACCCTTCTGGGGTTTGGAGGACGGTGGCTCTCTTCTCACAGCTTCACCAGGCAGTGTCCCAGTGAGGACTCTGTGGACTCTGTGTGTGGGCTCCAATCCCACATTTCCCTTCTGCTTTTCCCTATTAGAGGTTCTCCATGAGGGCTCCGCCCATGCAGCAGAGGAAATGCCTGGACATACAGGCATTTCCATACATCCTCTGAAATCTAGCCAGAGGTTCCCAAAACTCAGTTCTTGCTTTCTGCAAACCTGAAGCTCCAACACCACATGGAAGCTGCCAAGGCTTGGGGCTTGCTCCCTCTGAAGCCATGGTCTGAGCTGTATCTTTGCCCCTTTTAGCCATGGCTAGAGCTGAAGTGGCTGGGATGCAGGTGCCATGTCCTGAGGCTGCATACAGCAGAGGGCCCTGAGACCCAGTACACAAAACCACTTTTATTCTCCTAGGTATCTCGGACTATAATGGGTGAAAATCTCTGAAATACCCTGGAGATATTTTCCCCATTGTTTTGGCTATTGACCTTCAGCTGCTCATTACTTATGCAAGTTTCTGTAGCTGGATTGAATTTCTACCTAGAAAATTGGCTTTTCTTTTCCACCACATAGCTGAGCTGCAAATTTTCCAAACTTTTATGCTCCGCTTCCCTTTTAAATATAAGTTCCAGTTTCACATAATCTCTTTGTTCATACATATAAGCATACAATTTTAGAAACAGCCAGGTCACTTCTTGAGTTCTTTGCTGTTTAGAAATGTCTTTCGCCAGATACCCTAAATCATTTATCTCAAGTACAAAGTTCCACCGATCTCTACGTCAGGGGAAAAATGCTGCCAGTCTCTTTGCTAAAGCATAGAGGGAGTGACCTTTACTCTAGTTCCCAATAAGTTCGTCATCTCCATCTGAGACCACCTCAGCCTGGACTTCACTATCCATATCACTATCAGCAATTTGGTCATTCAACAAGTCTCTAGGAAGTTCCAAACTTTCACTCATCTTTCTGTCTTCTTCTCAGCCCTCCAAACTGTCCCAATCACTGCCTGTTACCCAGTTCCAAAGTTTCTTTCACATTTTCAGGTATCTTTATAGCAGTGCCCCACTCCCAGTACCAATTTTCTGTATTAGTCTGTTCTCACACTGCTGTTAAGAACTATCTGAGACTGGATAATTTATAAAGAACAGAAATTTAATTGACTCACAGTTCCACATGACTGGGGAGGCCTCAGGAAACTTATATAATCATGGCAGAAGATGAAGGTGAAGCAAGGCACATTTCACCATGGTAGAGCAGGTGAGAGAGAGAAACAGCAAAGGGGAAAGTGCCACAGTTTTAAACCATTAGATCTCATTAGAACTCACTATCACTAAAACAGCAAGGGGAAATCTGCCCCCATGATCCAATCACCTCCCACTAGTCTCCTCCCCAGACATATGAGGGTTATAATTAAACATGAAATTTGGGTGGGGACACAAATCCAAACTATATCAATTAGATATTGCAAAAAAGTGGCCTTCTAGTTTTAGCATTCTCCTGCATTTACTTGCTTTGATTTGATTCTTCCATGAAGATCTTTCTTCATCAACAGTTTTGTGACTCTGAAACTTGATTGAAGAAAGGCTAAATAAATGCTTGGTTCTTTCTCATTTTTTTTATTTTTTGATTTTTAAAATAATTAGTTTGTACCTTAGTAAACCCCTAAGGAGACCTATAATTTGTGCTCTGTTTTGTTTGTCTGTTTTATTTTCCTTGTGTTTTAGGCACCCATAGATGTTAACATAGTTTATGGTTTCAGTCCATGGCAGTCATTATTACTGGTGATTCTCAAGCTCTCCCGTATTTGATCAGTGGCTTGTAGTGCCCCCTTTTTTTAGATGGATTTCTTGCTTTCAAATACAACAGGATATTTCATCTTGCACATTTTCTACTCCAGACTCTGGATTAGCCATTTGTCCAAGGAGTCCTGGTTCTTTACACTGAAAGGTTACATTTAGAGATGACAGTCTGGGCATAAGGGCTGCTCCTTGCTTCTAGGACTTGTTAAATCAAGTTTAGCCTAAATCTGCCTCCTTACATATTTTAAGTTCTGCCTAAAATTTCTCTGTACATTGTAAACTATAACAGGTGGAGGTGTAAACAGACCATAAGCTACACTTGTGCAAATAACCAAGTTTTGGTTAATCAAAGGCAGCCAACTGTTTGAACCGTGTTCAAATAAGGCAAACACATAGCTGTAACTAATCCGGCTGTTTCTCTACCTCACTTCTATTTTCTTTATGTTACTTTCCTTTTCTGTCCATAAATCTTTTTTCATCACGTGGCTGTGCTGGGGTCTCAGAGCCTGTTTTGGCTCAGGAGGCTGCCCAATTTATGAATTGTCCATGCTCAAGTGAACTCCTTTAATTTTAATTCAGCTGAAGTTTTTCTTTTGTCAGATGGTGTCAGAAGTGGAATCCAAAGAAGAGCTAACAACCCCCAGGAGCGCTGAGCGTGGTTCCCACTCGGCCCATTGTGCCCATTGCTCTCTTGGAGCAGCTGGGGATCGTGGTAAGTTCTCTCTCATATTCTGAAGCTCCACGGATTTGTGTTTTGAGACCTCTGAGTTTCTTTGAGCAAATTTCTGATTCAAACTGGGTTTAGGAGTCATGACAGAAACTAGAGTGGGTCCAGGATTGGATTGGATCCAGTAATTAACTGGCTTGGATCCAACTAGAGGCCTCTTACATCTGTCTGGGTTAGAAAAAAACTGATAATAAATGCCAATATTGCAGGGGGTATAAATTTTGGCTTTTGGGAATTCACCGGAATTTTTGTGTCCTATTCATTTGTTTCACTTGTCTTATGTACTTAGATAGGAAAAAATCACTGGCTAAGTTGATCCAGGAAACTTGAGAGTAAAGCCAATATTTGAGCTAAAAATGAGGTCCTTAATTTCTGAAGAACTAAGCAGCAAACTCTTACAGAAATGGTGAAATCTTACTAAAGATAACTTACAGTGGAATGTTCCAAATGAACAACACTGCACAGACATGCATTTAAAAATGAGGGCTCCCAAATTAGTCTCATCTAGGGATGCCTATTGATATGCAGAAACATCTAAGAAAATTTCAATATTTTTATTTAAAGACTTTACAAAACGCAAATAAAAAGCATAAATGACTAATTGATTAAAAACATTAAATCTGCTAACCTTTTAGCTTAGTTACTATCCTGATTCAAGGATATAGACGGCAGCACCAATTGGCTGACTTTGAATAACTAATGGGGTACATTTTACCTGGGTAAAGGATGGGATTGGGTTAGATACCCTTCCCCGAGAAAAGTCCCTCTTGGTTAAAAATTGATTTGGCACTATGGCATGTTAACTGCTATTCTCTTTGGATTAATCTGCCTTGCACTCTTTGCTGATGGTTGTGGGTGACAGGATTAGGTATGCATGGGATCACAGGACATGAGGAGTTTTTTCTCCTCAAAGGGAGAAACTTGAGAGCCAATGGGACTCCTGGAAAAGATCCCTTTGCAACTGACAAGCGGCTGCCTGAACTTCTGATTCCGTGTTGTTGCAAAGGGTGGGTCTTTCTCTGGCCTCCCTGAGCTCTTCCTCTTCCCCAGCCTGCTGCAGGCAATGCTTTTCTCCCTTCCCTTTCCTCTGTGCAAAGTGATTGTAGGACTAGTAAAAATTACTATCTCTTACAAAGTTTTAATTAATGAGAAAAAGGATTTGTGAGGCTAGTCTGAAGCTGTAGCAAATCTGGTGTACTTTACGCTATGACCTGGTCTTTCTACATCCTTCTGTCATGAAAAGGTGTACCACAGGGTGGAATGCAGGCCTAGGCTCCATAATCTGGCTGCTCAAGACAGCTCAGCAAGCTGGCCGGTAACAAAACAGACAAACAAAACTGGATGAGGTTTCCATCCTGTTTTGTTTTATGTCTTTGGGGGCTTGACCTTGTAACCACGTGACGGTAATTTCTCTTGGTCTCTAACATCCAGGAAACAGGAATTTGGGGGCTCATGCCATAGATAGCTCTAAAAATTATCTAGATCAGTTAAAAGCCATTGCAAGCTCAAAATTGACTGCTCTATGCTCCTTATGGGAAGAGCAATGGAAACCACCCCATGCTTCATCTCAGAAGCTAAGGCTTTGCCATTTTACAATGGCAGCCCAGGTTCAATCTTGGCTTAGGGTATAAGTGCTTTCTGGGTGATATCTGTGTGACTTTTTCCATTTCTTGATACTCTTCCCCTCCATATACAACTTCTGGCTTCCCTTCTTGAATTTTCCTTTCTTTTGAGCATCTGGGAGGTTACCTTTAGTAAAGTTCAACAGCCAGAAATATTAGCCATTTGGCCTGGCTAAAGTTGGATAATTAGAGATTTAAAATATTTTTTAAAGAGTGTTATGGTTAAAAGCCAGCTTAATTAAAAGTGAACTTTCAAGTTTTAACAGCCTGGATTCCTTGGGAAAAACAGAGGAAACGCCATAGAGCCTGTTTTGGGAAAAACTTCTGTTTTCCTTGTGAAACCCAAGGAATTGAAAGCAGATAGATCCCTCTCGAAATCTAAGGCAAATACACATTTAGGGATGACAAATGGCAGTTATGGGGAAATACTCATTTCTTTGCACGTTTCGATCAGAGAAGCATGCTCTTGGTCACCTAGAAAATATGGAAATGTCTCCACCCCTCACTGTGATAAGACTTCTGTGGGGATGGGTTAATCACAGAATGGGCTGATCAGCTTTGAGTTGCTTTGCAATGAAATGCAGGGTGAAATCATTGCACTGTCTTGTTCCATAGCCTTTCTCTTTTGGGGCCAGGATCCAGTATAAAAATGCTACCCTGAATTTCAAGGGTACAGTTTTGCCTTACAGCTGTGCCTGCTTATTAGGCCCTAGAAACTGCATGTTTTCCTAGCCCTGTTCCTCTGAAGACTACCCTGAAGCCAGTAACTGGATTAAGAAATTTAAAAACTGACCAATAAAAAATCTTACAACTATTGGATCTCCTTTTGTCTTTCTGTGTATTCATATGTGTTATATGTATAAAGTTTAGATATGAAAGAGCTCTTATTAATTGGCTTGAAAGTAATAAGCACTTAAATATATTGTCAGAAAAATAAAAACTGTAATGCCTTTTAGTTCACGTGACTTTAGTAAGCTTTGAGAAATAAAGAATTTTAAAGATTATTGGTAAAATAAAGACACTTGGTCTAAATTAGGCAGGTCAAATATTAGGTTTACTAAATGCTTTAAGGTAATAAGCTGCTTCTTTGACTTTGGAAAAATTTTCAACTTAACTGCTTTGGAGCTATTAGATTCTAGGTAAGGCCTAGAGACATGTAGAGTTAGCCAATCCCCTTGGTTATGCTGGAAAGAGTCAGACTTTATCTGCACTTTTGTCTGGTGTCTTAGGCTCCACACCTAATAGATAATTAAAATCACTTACTAGGTTTTTCACCAAAAATAAAAATTGCTAAGAGTTAACATTGTAACATATAATTGAGACCACCGAAAAAAACAGTTTTACATGCAAGGTGTGTGAGGAAAGCAAAATGTGCTTTTAGTGAAAGACTATAAGGCACGGGAATATACATTTTTGCCTAGTTTAGAGGGTTAAAGGATTGTTTTAAATTAGGATAAAGCTGAAGGTTTAAGCAAGTTGAGGAAGATTTTTGAAAAAATAATCTTGTAAAAAAATTCTGTGTGTGAACATATTGGCTAAATTTAAAGGGTATTGTTAAGTTTTCCCAGGAATTGAATGTTGGAATAACAGCATAACAGGGTTTTCTTAGAGCACTGATCCGCTCTTAAACAAAGATCTGTAAAGGATTATAAAGGGTTTGTGAGACTCTCACCTATGGCCAAACTGATTAATATTAAATTGATTTGTCTATAAGGTTTTATTATTAGAAATTCCATACAATTTTGGAACATATATTAATATCATTGACTAAAATATAACCTGAAGAAGATTAAGCATTATTTTTTATTTTGACAATGCTTCCATGTAACTTAACATGCCAAATAATCCTGTTTATCTCTCTTTTGGATGCTTCAGGGGCCCTCTGTATTGTACCAAAGTTAGAGGTCAGAAAAGACCACTTTAAAGTTGAAATTTGATTTTGGGAAGCCTATCAAATACGTTAAAGGTTTAAAACACTTGACATTATAAAATAGAATTCCACGTCACAATAAGTCATTCATTTAGCCAAAATGATAACTCAAAAGTTTTACACAGGCAAAAACATTTACTCATTGATAGACGGAAGACTTAGCTTTCCAAACAATCTATCTCTTGTCTTTTCCTTCTATTTCATGAGTTTATTCAAGAGGCAAACAAAAATCTTTCATTATCCTTTAATATTACATGAAAATCTTGATCAAGATAGAAAGCCACATTTCACCTTTGCATAAGTTTATATATGTGTATTATATAGTTTCAAAATAAAATTATTTACATTTTAATTAAAATAAAAACAGATCTGATTTTTCTTTTTTATATTTCAGAATATGTACTTCCAAATTTTTTTTAATATCCCAAACTGAGGAATATGTACGTCCACCTTTTGAATCAAAGCATTGTGTTTTTTAAGGTCATTTGAAAGAACAGTTCTATGTCTGTTTATTTCATCAATTTTACATATTTTATTTATTTATTTATTTATTTATTTATTTATTTATTTATTTATTTTTTGAGACAGAGTTTCGCTCTTGTTTCCCAGGCTAGAGTACAATGGCACAATCACGGGTCACCGCAACCTCCACCCCCTGGGCTCAAGTGATTCCCCTGCCTCAGCCTCCTGAGTAGCTGGGATTACAGGTATGTGCCACCACACCTGGCTAATTTTGTATTTTTAGTAGAGATAGGGTTTCTCCATGTTGGTCAGGCTGGTCTTGAACTCCCGACCTCAGGTAATCCGCCTGCCTTGGCTTCCCAAAGTGCTAGGATTACATGCATTAGCCACCACGCCTGGCAAATTTTGCATATTTTATATACTATAGAAACTGCTTAGATATGAATTTATACTATATTCTTTGAATATACTATATATGTGTGTATATATACATGTGTTTTTATATGTATA
Organism: Homo sapiens; assembly: GCF_000001405.40. NCBI lineage: Eukaryota > Metazoa > Chordata > Mammalia > Primates > Hominidae > Homo > Homo sapiens. The sequence continues at coordinate 154,471,270 of NC_000002.12, read as the reverse complement.
TACATACACACACTTTTTATATACTGTTCCATTATAACAGAATACTTTGGCTTTTTTGCTTTTAATTTGGGTTATTAATTCATGAAACATATTTACGTGATTTGAAAGTCAAAACTATGAACTAAAATACTTTCAGAGTTTCAAAGTCTGCATTTTCTCTTTCTTATTATTCTCTGTCTACAGAGTAACTATTTTCACTAACTTTTAGATTATCTTTCACTTTTTCTTTTTAAAACAGCATACAATAAAAATTCTTCTTGAATCTTTTAGAATTTGATCAGAGAAGCTGAACCACTACAAGCAATGTTAAGAATTTATTGCTGGAATACCCCTTACACAATTGAGAGAGCCAGTTAAGCTATGTGAGCCTGCTACCCCTAGAACTGGAGCTGGGCTTGAAGTCTGTAAGACTAGGAAGGAATGAGGAGGGCAGGACCAAAGTGGAACCTGTGAAGGTAAACTTGGCATCCATATCTGTTTCTCAGCTGAACTGGCAGTGGTATCTCAGCACCTCCAAGCCTCCAACTTTGATGATGTTCTGCAAAAGAGCTTGAACAAATTGCCAAAACATCAGCCCCTGACATGAGCAGCTTTCAGAAAAACTGAAGGAGGAGATCCAGGGGCAGTTTGAGAAGCTGCCAACCAAGCTGCTGCACTATGCAGATCCACCACAATGTCATAAACTGTGTGAGCAGCAACAGTGCGTGACCCCACACAGGTCTGAGTGTAATTCTGGCTGCTGGATTCCAGTTAGACTTTAAATTCCATGCAAATTTCACTTGTGGCAAATCTTAACTTAGAACTGAACATGGAAGAGAATACTGAGAAACTTAGATCCAACTAACCTGACAGTTTACAAAGCCACCACAGTCTATCTTTTGTGAAGTCATCGTCCAATATATATCCCTCTTTTAATTATACTAAACTCCCAAATAAATGCAATGGCAAAATCATGAGTCTACCTAATAGGATTCAACCATACTCTGTATAACCAAAACTCACTCCCCTTTCCCAAAAGAGGATTCAGAGTCTTTTTTGGCTGATATTTATTCCTCTTCTTACTGAACCATGCTTTCTCAAATGCTTAGATATAATGCTTGCTACTATGAAAACATGTTAGATGGTAGAGGTACGGGAGGGAGAATGAAAAAAAATGACATGTATAAGAAAGAAAGAAAATGAGTTACATATGTGTATACACACATGTATGTATTTATATTCATATCAAAATAAGGAAGAAATATTAATGATTATCATTTCCTTTCTGCAACTTGAAAAATTGTCATAGCTGATACTTATAATGACCATTTTCCAATATACCTTTTATATCCCCTATGACCTGGGTAAGCACCTTGATGGGTGATGCTTCCTTGCTTTGTAGGGTGACCTAAATCTTTATTTTTGAAGGTGTAGTCATTAGAACTGCGGCCTCTATTGAGTCATTCTAGTTTCCACTGACTTTAACGACTGGACATGGGAGTTCTAAGCAATACCCTATGAAATTTCCTGAATTCAGGAATACTCTTCCTTATCCCCAATGTGTAGTAGTAACCCAATTTTTCATTGATATTCACTCAATTTTTCATTGATATTCGAGATCAATCTAGCAAATACAATAAATCTCATTTTTGCCTGTCGCTTTCTGTTTGATTTATTACTGTATGTCCCAGAAGATGCATTTCTCCCTTTGTAATCTAAGACCTCTATACCAGCAGAAGCTAGTGTTACAGACAGAGGAAGCAACTACACATCGGTGGGGTTATAGGGAGATTGGCCACTATCATTTCCAGTCCTTGATTCTCAGATTCATAAGTCCTGAATACGGGAGAAACAGTACCCATAGTCACTCATTCAGAGTATATACTGCATCCTGAAGAATATACACCCCACCCACAAGGTGTGGCCAACCAACTGGCTCCATAACTGAGTCTTCAAAAGACTAATTTGCTCTTCCCACAGGCCAGATACATCAGGGTAATAAGGAACATGGTAAGACCAATGAATGTCATAAACCTGAACCCACTGCAACATTTTCTACAAAGTGAGTTGCTTTGTCAGAAGTGATGCCATGTGAGACATTGCGAAGGAGAATAAAGCATGTTGTAAATGCAAGGATGGTGATATTGGAAGAATTGTGAAAAAGCAATTCCACATACAGAATTAGTGTCTATTCCAGTGAAAATAAAGTGCGCTCTTCACATGATGAATGTGATCTAAAATAATTGACATGGTGGCTGGCAGAAGCTCAATCACTATTTATAATCTAGCCTTGAAAGTAGCATTTATCACCAGTGTATTAGTTGAAACAGTCAAAAAGTCTCCCAAGTTTCAAAGGGAGGGGTCATATACTCCACTTATTGAAGGGGAAGTAACTGGGTTCTGAAGAACATGTGGAATGTTGGATGAAAAAAAGTTACACAACTCTTGGAAAATGCAATCTGCCATTCTGCTACTTGATGTTTTTACCTAGTAATATGTCTTGGAGATTACTATAGAGTCATATAATGACATATCTTTCTCATTATTTTTACAGCTGGATATTATTCTATTGTGGGATTATATCATAGCTCAATCAACCTGCTCTTTAATGAAGGTCATTTGAATTATTATACAAAGCAATTTTGCGTTACAAAATTATTTATTATACAAATAATGCTGTAATAAGTAGACTTGTTCATAAATTGCTCCTTTTTATTTTTATTTTTTGTATCTTCAGGGTAAAAATATGCATTTTAAATATTCTATTTTTGCTTTTGTGATTCAGATACAGTTTAAATAATGAAATATTACGTTCTTTCCTTGAGATGAGCCCCTTTTCTTCACAGATTCTTAGATGAATGCATGTGAAATGTAAATTAACATACAATAAAAATCAAACATCTCAGATATATTTCAAAATTATAATACACATTACACAAGAAAGAAGCAATCATTAAATAGACAACTGTATTAGAATGTTCATTCTGCAGTATTGTGTGGTCTGTACCCTGATGAGAACAAATTAATCCTTCTAGCCGCTCAAACAAATGTACAAAAAAAAGAAAGTCTTGAAAAACACCATTGATTTGTGAGATGCCAGCATGAAATTTTTATGATTACGTGGGATGCTGCTGAAAACAGTGATCCACACTTTTCAAATCTATTTAAAAACAGAATTGAATTTTGATCCAACTGAGTCTCCGGGGATCTCCTATAACTCACATTCTCACTTCCTAGGTGAAAAATGAGGTTTTTCCTATGATTCAAGTAAAAAACTGATTTAGTCTGTCTAATCTAGGTTCACATGGGCGAATTCTGTTAAAAATGTCATATTTATATAAGATAATTCAGCTAACTAAAACTTAGGATTTTTCCTCGCTTTTTTTTTACACTCCTAGTCACTCCAAGGTGTTGTCATATAAAAAGTTTACAATACTTTACAAGTAGAGACTTCTTAAGCTGATATGAAAAGAAGCTGAATATAAAATTTTGGAGCTATTAAATATTCAAACATTACTAGGGAAAAAGAAATGGGCGTTGAGAAAAGATGGAGTTTTGGGGAATAGGAGACTGGAGGAGTCCAAACTGTAAAGGATCAGTGTGCATGAAGGAAAGGCATATTCTTCTAGGTGCAAGATAGGTAAGGCAGAGTAGTTACTAAACCTAATGTTGTTCCTACCCAAATTTGACTCTCCATCACTCTTGTTGCATCAGAAATTTCTGCTAAAAGGTAAATACAGATGAATTTAAAATGGTGAGAGCATTCTATGTGGATTTTACCTTCTCAGTCTCCCCTGTTTAGAATTATTTTCTCTTGCTCTCCCCTTCATGGTCCCCAGGTTTTGTTCTTAGCTTTCTAAGTTTCTCCCTCTGTATCAGTGTTTTGAAAGCTATTTTGACTTCTACTTATAGTAAGAAATATATCTTATATTATGATCCAGAGCACACAGCTTTATAACTAAATGAAATTTTAAAAAACAATATTTTCCCGTTACATTCAATATACATTAATATTTTATCTTCTGTTCAACTCTAAGTATCATGTTGTATGTCATTGAAAAAAACATGAATACTGCCCTTTACCTTGTAAGTTAATATTCTGTCTCATTTTGCACAATGGTTTAAAGCCCCTATTGTACGTGAGTAATTTTCGAATCTAAAACTCCATGCTAGATCTCATTCTTGAAGTATAGATGAGCATGTACATTGTTTATTAGTTATTTTTCTCTGGATGTCTTATATGTGTCACAAATCCAACCAACCTAGGATTAAAATCTTTACCTCCTCTGTTGTCCAGCTTGATGAACGCAACCAACATCCACCTAGTCACTGAAAATAAGAACTTGGGAGTTGTGCTACAGGAAGGACAACAAAAGCATCAATAAGTAATGTGTTTTGATTACAAGTAATGGAAATCTCAGCTCAAACTGCTTTAAACAATATGGATATTTATTGGTCTACTACAGTTGGCTTAATCCTAGCTTACCCTTTTTTTTCCCCCAGCTTACTCTTAAGAGCAAGAAACGTTATTTCCCAGATGGAAAAGCTCTTTTGGCATCTCATTGAACTGAATGGCATCACATGCCCACTTCTAAACCAACCTCTTTGTTTGTGGAAGTGACGGGGGCTGATGTGCTTAGGCCTAGGCTCTTGGACAATCCCTCTGCAAGGAGATGAGTGACATTTTATGAATATCCATTGAAGTTGTCCTATATGATCCCTTTTCCTAAAGAACATAAAATATAAAAGTGGCTGTCTGAAAAGAAACTGGAGATCTGGAAGGAAGAGAGAATTATGAAATGGTATCTAGTTACGCAGCCACAATGCCATTTTCACACGATGAGTGTGTTCCTTCCCCCTCCTCATGCCATGGAAACTGTGGTTAATTCACCGCTTTCCTAATATGTACTCCCATAGCCATAAAATGAGTCTGAACTGAGCACTCCAAGCAGGCACTTTGAATTCATCAGTTATCATTCTGTGTTGAAATCGATTTAATATTCCTACCCTAGATTCTTCCTTCTACTTCATCCTCATCACCTATTAAGCCATACAATTTCATCTCTGTCTGACATAACTCAAAAATCATTCCTAAAGCCACAGCTCTATTTCAAGGTCTCATCCGTTCTAGTCTAAACTATTATGAAAGTCTCAAGCCCTCAAACCTGTGCTTCCTTCTCATTTTAAAGAGCAATTTCCAACATCCAAATATAATTATATCACCAGCATGCTTTTAATTCTTCAATGGCACTCCATTACCTATGGAAAAAAGTCCCAGGCCCTTATCCGGCAGGCAAAGCTGTCCCAGACAGCTTATTTCTTATTTCTCATTTCTGTTTACCTCCATGTGAGCCAGTTTATGCCATAGCAAACTTCATATAGCTCCTTAATCACATCATCATGATTCATAACTTTATGCCTTGCATCTCTTGCTTCTTCTGCTCAGAAAGTTCTCCCTCCTTGCTTACTAACTTCTGACACATCTTAGTGTTCACTACAATATGTGTTCTTTGCTGAAGCAGGTTAATAAACCTAATTTTGGTTGACTATGGGTGGGTTTCTGGTAGTCCCTGGGCACTGTTCTTTATCAGTGTAGAGCAATGCTTCATGTGACAGCACACATGGATAATTAGAATATGGTTTATAAGGCATGCTGGGCAAAGTAGAATGCTGCTTGGACACCACTTGTCAGAAGGTGGTGTCACTTGTCTTCCAAAGATTGAAGGATATCAACTTCTCAGCACGACTAACACAATATTTAGTTGGAGAGGTTCTAGTAAGGGATTTAGGGTGCATGATGACAAAGTGGAAAAAGAAAAGTATTTTTGGCAAGAAACCAATATACAACTGGGTAGGTGTTCCGTCCTATTCTACTCACCAATCCTGTCCATGTGGAAGTTGAAACTGCATAGGTGAGAGGTGGAGTGGAAAGAAACGCACTTAAAAATAATATCATCTCCCTCTTATGACTCTTTATAGGAAGTTCTGATTGCAGGTCATTAGTATTTCTATCAAGGGGGTGGGGGGTAGAGGAGAGTATTACAAAGAAAAATAAACTCTGAGTATAATGCAATATGTATGATTTTAGAAGAAAAGGGAGTGTGATGTGAGAAGGCTAGAAATGTATAAAGTGTAGAAACATGAATAAGAATGGCGCGGAAAGTGAAGGCGCTGAAAATTGCTCCAAGAATCCCTTTAGGCTCCTATTTTTGTGAGTCAACCTTAAAGGAAGGCATAAGCCCCAAATGTTATGGGTTGAATTGTGTCCCCAAAAATGTGTATTGAGGTTCTAACCTCCAGTACCTCAGGAGGTAACGTTATCTGGAAAAAAGGAAAGAAGGTCTTTACAGGAGTAATCAAGTTAAAATGAAGTCATTAGTGTGGATTCTAATCCACTATGATTGATATCCTCATAAAAGTGGTATTTTGGATGCACAGACAGACACAGAGGGAAGATGATGTGACGACATCACAGGGAGGAGACGGCCACATGACTAGAATGTCACATTCATACAAGTCAAGGAATGCCAAGGACTGCCGGCAAATGCTAAAAGTTGGAAGAGGCATAGGATTCTCCCCTGGAACCATCAGGGAGGGCATGGCCCTGTTGACATCTAGCCTCTAGAACTGTGAGAGAGTTAACTTCTGTTGTTGTAAGCCTCCTTGTTTTTATTACTCTGTTACAACAGCCCTAGGAAATTAATACACAGAGAAAGCATCATGAAGGCAGCTTGAGAGTGAACAGTAACCTTAGAAAACAGCAGGGTTGGACCACCTCCATTAGAAAATCTTCACGGCAAGCACCACTGTTCTTCATGCCTTTTGCTGTGCCTTTAGCAACAACAACAGCTCCTTGAAGCCTTACTCTCAGAAGTCAGGGGTTTAGCTGAAAACAGAATTCAGTTATTTAACTCTGAGCTCTATGCCTCTGCCGTGAAACCTAGGGGAGTTTAGCGGATATTTTTAGCCTGCTTCCAAGCCTGTAAGATGCCTATTTATCATGTTTTAAATAAGAATACTCTACATACACACATACAGACACACACACACAACCACACGCATACACAATAATGGATGAGTGATTTTGAAAGGTTTTTCTTCAAAAGGAGTTAAGAATATTTTATAATTTATGACTTCTTTAATTGATTTTAGGCCTACATTTTATTACTATTAGGAATCTTGATTTTAAATTTTACTAGAAACATCAGTCACAAAAACACTAGCTTATTTTTTTTTGTATCTGAAGGATTACCTTTGAGATTTTCCATTCTTGCTATCAAAAATTACTTCTGTTTCATCTTTTAAACACTGACCCAATGCCACTCCTTCCTGAAGGCATTATACCAAATAATATTACACTATTCCAATATTATATATAGTCCATTATATGAAATAAAATTATAGTTAAGTTAATATATTTACAGATGGCACATCAAGATAGGCACAGGTGTTGATGATGTTGATGTCTGTTTCTAATGTCATTATTTTACCATCTTAACTCATAAGCTCCCAGAAAAGTAGGGTCTCAGTCTATTCAAATCATGCATAAAAAATTTAGCTTTAGTCTCTAGAATATAGGTGCTTACAAATAATTTTGATTATGATGAATATATTCAATGAATTGTAATCAAATGCAAAGTAATTAACTTTTTCTTTTCAAATATAGGTCTCATCATCCCTCTGATTCAATCATTTTCTTTGTCAGTCATTGCTGAAATGTATTTCTAGCTGTGCCCTGCCTCTACAAAGACTTTTTTTCACATGCTGTCATTTGAAAACTCAGTTTATGAGAGTTAGAAATATAATGGCTTCCTTGGCCAAGGCAATCCTTTAACAGAGAGGTAAGGTCTGTGGGGGGAATAATAGTGCATAATCACTCTACCATAGATGCTATTTAATAAGCACACTTTCACACTTCAAGGTATTACACTTGAAAAGTAACTAATATAATCTGTAATATTTTTTCCTGTATTAAAACAAAAAGTAACCTCAACTGAGAGGGATTGTGTCACTAGGCCTACTTTTTTTTTTTTTTTAACTATGATAAAGTACTAAAAATTAAGGCCCCTCACTTCCAAGAAAGCCACAGCCAGTTAGCTTAAACTCTAGATATATTAGTGGTGTGTAAATATTTCACTTGAGCATATAATAAGGTCTGCTAGACAAGTTCTTTTTCTGTGGCATGTTGGAAATAAAAGTGGCATCAGGAAACTAATTTCCATTGAGCACCCCCTTGACTCATGCACAATTAGACTCTCTGCATAGATTACACTTTTACAAGAAATCCATGATGACCATTTTATCATTTACGTTTTTCAAATGATGAAACATGTTCAGCTAGCTTAAATAATGGATTACCCAGTACACGTTCATCTGTGTGTACTTAAACCCAACCTTGAACCAGTTTAAGCAAGAGAGGAGTTTTTTGAAAAACTATCTAAACAAAAGAAACGATGAGGGCAGAACTGCACTGCACTTAGTTCAAGGGACCTAAACTTTGATTCTCGTTTTTTTTTTTTTTTTCTTTTAATTTCTTACTCACTTTTTGTGAGTAGGAAACCTCACATGCTTGAGTTTGGGACACAGTCTTTTTTCTTTAATTCACCGTAAGAGGAAATGGGAAGATTATCCTCCAGTTCCAAATAAGACACTTATAAAACAGAAAAAACCGGAAATCTAATTAGCCTCGCTTCTATCATAGGTCTATCTCTGGAGCAATCACTAGAGTCAGAGGGGCAAAGGGGTTCATGATTGGCTCATTCCTGATCATGTGTTCCCAGAAGGAAGGAGATGGGGACCAGTGCAATGGTTAGCACATGAAAACCATAGCTTTCAAGAACTTTCTCATTGCTAGAATTGTCAGTTGGATTCTGATTCATCCATTTCAAGCCTGCCCTTTCTAATACACCTTGCTATTGTAAAACATATTTCAAGTCTACCCTTCCTAATACACCTTGTTATTGTAAAACATATTTGCTATAAATGTGGTGGTTTTAGGTTACAATTGAATTAAACTGAAGGAATATTACAGACATTCTCTTCTGACTGTCAAACTTGACCTAGAAGAGATACTTCTTATTTTGGAGCAATAAATAGTGGATGTAATAGGCAAGAAGTCACAAAATGAATCAACATCATAACAAATGTATGAGCCTTTCTATCTGTCTACCCATCAGATCTCCACCTTAATATCCAAGCAGCAATCTGAATATAGAACATTAGTCAGAAACTAGATTTATCTAATTGCTGTTGGCCCAAGAGCTTTAATTTGAAAAGGATTTTTTCAAACCGTATTCTCTAATCACAAAACATAGCATGTAAGCATAAGGATACATGTTAATATATCCTGCTTGGTTTCAATACACTCAGATTAGCTGATGATAATCTTTTATAAGCTATGCATGTTATTTTAATCAGGATAATATTTCTTCACTGAGATTTATGAGAACTTCATTTTTTTAAAAAGATCTCACTTTTCTATTTATTTCCCATTAACCCTAATTCCTTTTGCCTAAGATCTTGGCAAATTCCCAGAGAATGCCAAAAGTATATCACCTTCCTAAACATGCATCTGGTTGACATGTAGGTGGAGACAGATGTTGGCACTGAGGAGGAAAAATGGGGTTGAAATATTCTGCCTGAGTAGGGAATGAAGAAAGCTCTTTTGCCTGACTGGCTCCCTTATTCTATTTGAAGATTACAATGTGATTAGTTAATTTAAATTTAACTGTTAAAATGCAAATAGATTGTTGTCTTCATCTTTCTTTAATTCTTACATGTTGACATTAAATAACTAATCACATAATAACCAATATTTGACGTTTAATCATAACGCACACCGCAACAACCACAAAAAATCTTCACATCCTGCATTGTCATCACTAACTTGCATGGAAAGTGTTTCTATACTGAGCCTTCTGGCAATATTCAGATTATTAAAAATTAAGAATTTCTTTCCTTATAAAAGAATGTACCTGAGTAATGAAATAATCTGTACAACAAAGCCCCATGACACAAGTTTACCTATGTAACAAACCTGCACAAGTACCCCTGAACTTTAAATATAAGCTAAAATAAATAAATAAATAAAAATAAAAAAGAGAATCCAGAGTTTTACTCGAACCCAATAAGAGTTTTGAAAGCATGAACTTTACCTAAGATGTACTATTCATCTGTTGGCAACTGTTTCTGACTTGGCGATTTTCTCTCTAAATAGATTAAACATTTAAAAAAAAAAGAAAATATGCTAATAAACTATTATGGGAAAAATAAATGGTTCTATTTTGAGTCTTTGAGAATAATTAAGGATAAAAATATCAATTAGTTCAATGCCATGGGCAACTTCAGCTCTTAAAGTCAAAAGTAAGTTACGTAATGACTCATGTACTGGCACATGTACATTAATTTGAGTTCTGCTGCTACTTGCATCTTTTGAAAAACAAAGCAGCAATAAGTCAAACAGCATTGGAAATCCTTTCAAAATATTTATCTATAAAGCACAGCTTTAAGGATCAACATAGCTTATCATAAACAGAGTTTTGGATGTCAGTATGGTAGCTACTGAAGAATGGTTAAAACCGTTTGCATTCTGGGCTTACTTCTGTAAATCTAAGGTGCCACTTTTCAGAAAAGCTGATTTCAAGAGCTTCTTACATAAATAGCTGAAGTTCCAAAATGTGTCTGCTGCAGGGTGCTGTAGTTTAAGTCCTCCTCCACTGACTTGCAGGCCTAGAGGGACAAAACACAGGGTGTTTAGTCTGCTTATGATGCAAAACAGAAGCCAATTTCTATACATGATGGGAAAATGAGGGAAAAGAAAAACAAAATGCCCGGATATTTCTTATTCATTAAAAGCAGCTTTTGTGTCAGTTAGTCTTCTACATGGAAGAATTACAATGAGCATAGAAGACTGAAGTAAACTTACGTAGCTAACATTTGCTGCAAGAGGCACTTTACCTGAATCATTGCTAACCCTCACAAAAGCCCTTCAAGGTGGGCCTGAGGTGGGCACTGGTGTTGATATGGACAAGTACAACTGTCAGCTTAGATGGTAGGTGGCCCATGTGGGATGACAACTTTAGTTACCTGGCTTCAAAATCCATACTCTTCCTACTATACTACCTATAGGATAAAAAGGTCAGATTCTATTTCAAGTTAAAGAAAACTGAACTGAGCAGTTACCTAAGCAAATGTGGCTCTTCTCCTACTTGATTGTTACTGAAAGAAATCGCTGTTAGATCTAAGCAGCTGTCTTCAGAGTCTGGTCCTGCAATGCAGTTAAAAAGAACCTGTACTCCCACCTCTTGCCAATTGTGGTAGGATAGTTAGCACCTCCTGGATCTGTCCATAGTAGATGGAAGATAAGAGAATGTCATATTTAGTGTAGAGCTAACACCACCTAAGATTTTGACAAACATCAGAGAGAGAAGCCCATCTCCATACCTATCTCCAGAAACTTGTGCACACAAATGGTGACCCTAATAAAAGGCACAGGAGGGAGGATGTAATTTTCAGTATTTTATTTTAACTTGGAATCTATAAATTTATACTACACATTTCCTTTAAACATATGTATCCTTAGGAATGTCTAAGTATGTAGTTTTCAGAAATAAGCCTTAGAAAGACATCACAATAAATTTGTACAAATAATCTACTGCAACTTTTTTAGTTTTTTATAATGACATCTCCAGCTGCCTTGTCATGCTAACATTCCATTATTCTATGCCCCCAAACCATCCTTCCATTAGAGAAAAAAATGCTCATCTGGGTCATATCAAATAGAATTAGCCTAATAGTTGTATGATTATGGAATTGTCTCAAGTTCCAAATGCATCCATTACCTTAAAAATTAATAGTTTTGCAATGGAGATAAATGACATAACCCTATTAGTAGGAGGACATTAAAAAGTGTAGTGGAGGTTAAACTGTATCAATATAAAGAAGAACAAGAAAAATGTTAAAGTTCTCTCTCTGCCTC